>NC_000001.11:52887168-53038683 GCF_000001405.40 Homo sapiens
GTGTTTAAAAAGAAACTGAAAAAAGATATTACTAGCTTAAAGCAATGCTTCAGAATTAGTAATCTATTTGGGGGTAGATAGCAAGCAAAATAAAAAGTAAAAGTTTGCTCCTACTTGTATTCCCCACAGACAAGCACCGTTAATAATTTGATACCTAATCTCCCAGATACTTTTCTATATCCATGCTATATTTAGTATGTGCTGTATATATGAAATATATTTTTTAACAAAGTGGGCTCATTCTGTGCATGCTGTCCTATAGCTTGGTCTTTTCACTCAACAGTTTATTGCTGACACTCTTCCTTTAGTAAAACATGGACCTGCTTCTGTGTAATGGTCTCTGGGAGACTGGGAGGCCAGGAGTCAGGGGTTATTTCCCAGACAGATTAAATATTTCTGCATGTTTTGCAATTTAAAATCCCTTTTGAGGCCAGGTGAGGTGTCTCCCAAAGTGCTGGGATTACAGCACTTTGGGAGGCCGAGGCAGGAGATCGCTTGAGGCCAGGAGTTTGAGACCAGCCAGGGCAACATAGCAAGACCCCACCCATGTTTTTTACATTAAAAAAAAAATTAGCCAGGTATGTGTGGCATCCATCTAGTGAAGCCAAAGTGGAAGTATCCCTTAAGCTCAGGATTTCGAGTCTGCAGTGATCTATGTTAGTGCCACTGCACTCTGTCTTAAAAAAATAAAATCCCCTTTGAGAATTTTCCGTTGATATCCTTTGTTGAGACTTGTTATACAATTTTTCATTGTATTATAGGAGATATAAGCTATTATTTTACAACAGGAAACCCAAGAGACAACTTTTAGAATTAAAAGTTTAGCTTGTTGACTAGCTGTAAAGCAAGTGTATAAAAACCAATAGTTTTATAATGCCAGCAAAAATCAGAAAATGTAATTAAGGGAAAATATACCACCACTCACTTTATTAACAAAAACATAAAGTATTTTAAAATGCCTTTAACAGGTAATGAGACATGCAGTAAACTATGAGATAATTTAAAAGCCTGAAATAATTATGAGACCATTCCATTTTCTAAGATGGAATGACCTATTAGATATATAGATGTCATTTCTTTTCAGTTTATTAATGTAATATAATTCAACTGAATAGGTAAGAGATGGAGGATCTGAAAATTATTCTAAAGTTTATCTGACAGAATCAACAGGAAAGAACTAACAAAAATGTTTGTTTGTTTTTTTCTGAGACGGAGTTTCACTCTTGTTGCCCAGGCGGGAGTGCAATGGTGCTATCTTGGCTCACTGCAACCTCTGCCTCCTGGGTTCAAGCAATTCTCCTGCCTCAGCCTCCCGAGTAGCTGGGATTACAGGTGCCCACCACCACACCTGGCTAATTTTTGTATTTTTGTTAGAGACAGAGTTTCACCATGTTGGCCAGGCTGGTCTCGAACTTGTGACCTCAGGTGATCTGCCCGCCTCAGCCTCCCAAAGTGTTGGAATTACAAGCATGAGACACTGCATCTGGCCAGAAAAATGTTTTTTATGGGCTCAGCCTGGTGGCTCAGACTTGTATTCCCAGCACTTTGGGAGGCCAAGATAGGAGGATCACTTGTGCAGGAATTCAAGGCCACAGTGAGCCATGATCAGGCAACTGCCTACTTCCAGCCTGGGGAACAGAGCAAGACTCCTGTCTCTAAGATAAGAAAGAAGGAAAGAAATGTGGTTTTTAGGAGCTTGCACATAGACTTCTCTTAACATTGTAAAATGGTGCCATGAGTGGTTCTGACGTATGAATAGATAGATAGCAGATGATTGGATCAGAATAGCCCTGAAACAGACTCATACAGTTATAACAGGAGAAACTAACCGAAACTAGAATTCAGTTGAGTACTTATTATGTGCCAGGCAATGTTGTAAGCACTTTATGAATAACTCATTTAATCTTCACAACAACTAGAAGGGTAAGCATCTTATTTTATTTTATTTTTAAAATTTATTTAATTTTAATTTAGTTTAATTTATTTTATTTTTGAGACAGGGTCTCACTTCATTGCCAAGGCTGAAGTGCAGCGGCTTGATCACAGCTCACTGCAGTCTCAGCTCAGGTGATGCTGTCACCTCAGCCTCCCAAATAGCTGGGACTATGGGTATACACCACCATGCCTGGGGTTCTCCCCAAAAAGAGCAACCCTTACAGTATTTTTATCAGCATCATGTTAGATTTATAAGTCAACCTAAAGATAATTCCCATCCCTATGACAAATGAGTATTTCTTTAAAAAAAGTATTTAATTTTTTTTCTTTTAAATTAAAAAAAAAAACACCTCAAAACAAAAAGCAACAGGGTCTTGCTATGTTGCCCAGGCTGGTTGTGAACTCCTGGGCTTGAGTGATCCTCTTGCATCAGCCTCCCAAAGTGCTAGGATTACAGGCATGAGCCACCATGTTCAGCCACAAATGAGTATTTCTATCCAAGAACATGACTAATAAATATATTTTAGTTCTACCTTGTTTTCATATCCTTAAAGATAGTTTAGGTGTTACTATTTTACAGTCAAGGCTTATTTCAATTTGCTAAATACCATTTTTTTTTTTTTTTTGAGATGGAGTCTCGCTCTGTCACCCAGGCTGGAGTGCAGTGGTGCACTCTTGGCTCGCTGCAAGCTCTGCCTCCCGGGTTCACGCCATTCTCCTGCCTCAGCCTCCCAAGTAGCTGGGACTACAGGCGCCCGCCACCATGCCCGGCTAAATTTTTTTGTATTTTTAGTAGAGACGGGGTTTCACTGTGTTAGCCAGGATGGTCTCGATCTCCGGACCTCATGATCCACCCGCCTTGGCCTCCCAAAGTGCTGGGATTACAGGCGTGAGCCACGGCGCCTGGCCTCAATTTGCTGAATACCATTTTCTTTGCTCATCACTGCTTGTTTTTTTTTTTTTTTTTCTTTTTTTTAACCCCCACCACTCCTTTTCTGGATTCAGGTTTTGATAGTGCATTACTGACAAAATCTCTTTGTCACCCCACCCCTATTCTTACTCTTAAATAATAATATAGCTGGATGTAGAATTCCAGATAGTTACTTACTTTATTTTAGCATTTGGGAGAAAAATATTTTCTTTTAGTTTTTTTTTTTTTTTTTTTTTTTTGGAGACAGTCTCTGTCGCCCAGACTGGAGTGCAGTGGCGTGATCTCTGCCTCATAGGTTCAAGGGGTTCCCCTGCCTCAGCCTCCTGGGTAGCTGGGACTATAGGCATGCACCACCATACCTGGCTAATTTTTTGTGTATTTTTAGTAGAAACCGGGTTTCATCATGTTGGCCATTCTGGGTCTCAAAGTCCTGACCTTAGATGTTCGCCTCAGCCTCCCAGAGTGCTGGGATTACAGGCATGAGCCACGACACCTGGCCATTTTCATTATTTTCTATTGTTGCTGTTGGGGTCTACTGTCAGCCTAATTATCATTTCTTGATAGGTAATTTTTCTTTTACTTTTTTTTTTGAAACAGGGTCTCACTCTGTCGCCCAGGCTGGAGTGCAGTGGCACAGTCACAGCTCACTGCTGCTTCAACCTGGGCTCAGGTGACTCTCCCACTTCAGCCTCCTGAATAGCTGGGACTATGTAGCATCACACCCAGCTAATTTTTTTATTTTTTGTAGACACATGGTCTCACTACATTGCCTTGATCCTCCTGCCCAGGCATCCTAAAGTGCTTAGATTACAGGAATGAACCACTATGTCTGGCCTATTTCTCTTTAACTGGGTCTAAATCTTTTTCTTTTCTTTTCTTTTTTGAGACAGTTTCGCTCTTGTTGCCTAGGCTGGAGTGCAGTGGCATGATCTCAGCTCACTGCAACCTCTGCCTCCTGGGTTCAAGTGACTCTCCTGCCTCAGCCTCCTGAGTAGCTGGGATTACAGAGGCCCACCACTATGCCCGTCTAAGTTTTTGTATTTTTAGTAGAGAAGGGATTTCACCATGTTGGACAGGCTGGTCTCAAACTCCTGACCTCAGGTGATCCACCCACCTCAGCCTTCCAAAGTGCTGGGATTATAGGTGTGAGCCACCGTACCCAGCCAACTGGGTCTAAATCTGCTCTTGGACTGTCTTTAATTTCAGTGATACATTTTTAAATGTCTGAACTTTTTATTTGCTTCTTTTCCAGATATTCCTATTTTTTTTCTTCTTTAAAAGTAATTATTTTGTGGTCTTTATCTGATCTTATTATGTGTGTTATGTTGAGTGGGGGCAGTTTTGGATTGTGAAGTCAACTTTAGCAGGGCTTATTTTTCTGAGAATTCATTTTAGAATGGATTGGCGTGTCCCTGAGGCGGTTTTGTATTCGCTTCTGTGAAGTGCTCCAGAGGTTTCCATAGGCTTGTGCTCGTTTTTTTATATTAATTTCTCAGCAATATTCAGGTAGTGTAAACTCAAACCTTATTACCCACTTGGGATTGTGGTCATGAGAAGATTTCTCCTCTCCTACTCCCGTATACCCCTACAGCCCCATCCATGACAGAGATGCTTCAGTATCTTATCCCTTTTCTTATCTAGCCCTTTGTGGGTCTACTTTTATGTAGGAATATTGCCTCCAACTCTGCAAGCTGAAATTGAAATGCCTCAATTACTAAGACCGCCAGTTTCTTTCTGCCGCAGGCTAAGCTGCAGGTTAGCTTACACTAGCTGAAGTGCTCTTTGTTTCCAGCTCCTGGAAAATTCCTTTAGTTTGTACATTCATCTATGCATTAAAAAATTTGTGAATTATATTTTATTTAACATCTGGTGTTTTTTATTTTGAGACAGAGTCTCGCTCTGTCGCCCAGGCTGGAGTGCAGTGGCGTGATCTCGGCTCACTGCAAGCTCACCTCCCAGGTTCACGCCATTCTCCTGCCTCAGCCTCCCGAGTAGCTGGGACTACAGGTGCCCACGACCACGCCCAGCTAATTTTTTTGTATTTTTAGTAGAGACGGGGTTTCACCGTGTTAGCCAGGATGGTCTCGATCTCCTGACCTCATGATCCGCCCGCCTCGGCCTCCCAAAGTGCTGGGATTACAGGCGTGAGCCACTGCGCCCAGCCACATCTGGGGGTTTTCAACATCATTTAACTAGGATTAAAGATGTTTGGGCCAGGCATGGTGGCTCACGCCTGTAATCCCAGCACTTTGGGAGGCCGAGGCGGGCGGATCATGAGGTCAGGAGATCGAGACCATCCTGGCTAACACGGTGAAACTCCGTCTCTACTAAAAATACAAAAAAATTAGCCGGGCGTGGTGGGGCATGCCTGTAATCCCAGCTACTTGGGAGGCGGAGGCAGGAGAATTGCTTGAGCCCGGGAGGTGGAGGTTGCAGTGAACCGAGATTGCGCCACTGCACTCCAGCCTGGGCAACAAGAGCAAAACTCTGTCTCAAAAAAAAAAAGAAAAAGATGTTTGAAGCATAGAGTTGTCTGGAAGTAAACATACTAAAATGAGCATCTGTTACCTCATACAAGCCAAGCAAGTTTTGAAGAACTGCTTTAGAATTGACTCATTTTATCTGTTAATTCCTAGGCCAAAGAGCTTAAACCTTTGTATTGTTTCTTCAGCAAGGTGAATGTGGTGACATGGGAGTATTTAAAATGCCAGTTGTCCATGGAGTGTCTCTGCTTGATTTTCTTTCAGCCAGCAAATACTGCAAAATGTTAGTTGAAGAAGAAGGATTGCAGCTTTTGTGTGATATCCAGGAGCACAGTGAGGCAACCCCCAAAGCACAGCAGATTGCAGCCTCCATTCTGGATGACTTCAGAATGCATTTCATGAATTATCAGAGGCCCACTCTGTGTCAAATGCCCTTCTGAACCTAAGGAATTTCAGAGGTGTGTGCTCTTCCTCAATGTCAGGTGTTCTGCCCTGGCAGTAATTGCACATCAGTTGTCATTGGAGTTTGTGAGTTGGCTGTCTCATTGGCCTTTGATTGTTGATTTTATATATGTTACAAAAGGTTGGATTTGTATGATAGCTGTAATCCCAAGTCAAGTTGGACTCATTCTGCAGCCTTTCAGCAGCAATTTTGAAGACTCAAACCGTGGACTCTGGGAAGGCCTGGGAGCTTGTGTTGGAACAGCTATGCAAGTTACTTTTCTCTAGCCTTGGACAATTTTTTCCCTTTGGGAGCTTGTCATGGGAGTGGGACCTGTTCACTAGAAGAGAAAGGAAACCTACAGGGAGACTTTGATATTTATATTAAATTTCCTTTGTTGTTATCGTCATGTGAAGCTATGAGAAAAGCTTGGGAAGCATATGCTTCAAAATGTAGTGTTTAGAAGGCAGAACCCCTGTTGGAGAGCGGGGAAAAGAATTTATTTATTTATTTATTTATCTATGGCTGGGTATGGTGGCTCACGCCTGTAATCCCAGCACTTTGGGAGGCCAAGGCAGGTGGATTGTCTGAACTCAGGAGTTCGAGATCAGCCTTGCCAACGTGGTAAAACTCCGTCTCTACCAAAAAATACAAAAATTAGCTGAGCGTGGTGGTGTGCACCTTTACTCCTAGCTACTTGGAGGCTGAGGTGGGAGGACCACTTGAGCCCAGGAGGCAGAGGTTGCAGTGAGCTGAGATTGCACCACTGCACTCCAGCCTGGATGACAGAGTGAGACCTCATCTCAAATGAATAGAGGGGTGGAGAAAAGAGAAATATATTTTTTTACCTTTTTTTTTTTTTTTTTTTTTGTGACGGAATCTCGCTCTGTCGCCCAGGCTGGAGTGCAGTGGCACAATCTCGGCTCACTGCAACCTCTGCCTCCCAGGTTCCAGCAATTCTCCTGCCTCAGCCTCCTGAGTAGCTGGGACTACAGGCACATGCCGCCACGCCCGGCTAATTTTTGTATTTTTTAGTAGAGACAGGGTTTCACCATATTGGTCAGGCTGGTCTCGACCTCCTGACCTCGTGATCCACCCGTCTCGGCCTCCCAAAGTGCTGGGATTACAGGTGTGAGTCACTGCACCTGGCCTTTTTACAATTTTGGGTGTCTATCTTTGGCATGTTTCCTGTTATGTGAGCATGACATGCTGTGTATGTGAGTGAGCTTGTAGGGCGTGGTGGGACTTAGGCATTTGCAGACAGTGTTTAGATGAAAGATTACATGTAATGATAAATCTGAATCCCTCCATTTTATTTGGGTGGAACCATGACCAAAAATGGTAGGAAGACGAAAGGCCAGAAAGAGACTTTGCCAGAGAGTTCACGGAGTTTTCTTACCCCGCATGCTGACTAAAGAAAACATGGGCTTTTCTGAAACCAGCTTCAACTACAGTATAAACTATATCAGAAGCTTACTTGATAAGCCTTGCGGAGCTGCTCTGAGGAATAGTGTGAATTCCTTCCTTGCCTTATTGTTGACTGTTAATGAACATGTTTTGTCATTTATCTGTTTAAGTTTTTCAGAAAATAAAAGTAAATTTCTGTTAGCACATTTTAGGATTAGATTTTTGTGCTTTTGGCTGGCTTGGTTCAGATTCTTAACTAGAGTACCATGTACTGTCTTTGGAAATCAAATGAGGAAGAAGCTCATTCTCTTACTCTAAACCATGTTCCAAACTATTACCAGAGTCCAACCAGATAAGCAGAATTTGTAACCTTACTTCCTTCCATAGTCCTTAAACTGTACTGTATTTTTTCACACTCTTGCATGATTCCAAAAGGATATCTTCCTGACCTGGGTTCTAGTACCTCAGAGCATTGTTATCAGATGCTAGCTTATTCTAATGTGAGGATGTGTTAGGGGAACTAGTGTGTTAAGTCCAATTCTGTACAAGACATCCTTTCAAGTTCTGTGTCATTCACAACAATCCTCACGGGTAGGTGAGTTTTATTTTCCTCACTTAACAGATGAGAAAAAGGAAGTTCAGTAAGGTGGTTACTTTCCTGGGTTGTCATAGCTGGTGTGGTTTGTGCTGACTGTAAAGGCCTGGGCTCTCCTGTGTTATTCTTCCTTCCAGGATGCAAGCATAACCCTGGGAGCACATTTGTATTTTGCAGAAATCCGCAATGTTATTTATATTGTATCCATGCCCATGGTTTAGTGACTCTAGGCCAGGCTGAGGCTCAGCTTAGCCAGCGCTCAGATCCAGTTGGAGAATGACTGCAAAGGCATAGCTTAAGATGTAGCCTTGGTACCAGAGGAGGGAGGGGTATTGGGACCAGTATGGTTATGTATCAGCCTGCTCTTGGTTTTCTAAGTGTATCATCCTCTTCCTCACCTTTGCTCATGCTGTGTCAAGCTTCCTCTTCTGTACTTGAAATGTTCCTTAATCCTTCAGGCTTCAATTCCAATGTTAGTTGCCCATTTCCGGATCCTCCCTTCTTTCCATTAGAGTTAATTGCCCCTTTCTTCTCAGTGCTCCTAAATGCTATCAAAGAGTCTCCTGGAGGCTAGGTGTAGTGGCATACACCTGTAATCCCAGCACTTTGGGAGGCCCAGGCGGGCGGATTGCTTGAGCCCAATAGTTCAAGACCAGCCTGGGTGATATGGCGAAATCCTGTCTCTACAAAAAAATACAAAAATTAGCTGGGCATGGTGGCATTTGCCTGTAGTCCCAGCTACTCCAGAGGCTGAGGTGGGAGGATCACTTGAGCCTGGGAAGTGGAGGCTGCAGTGACCTGAGATGGCGCCACTGCACTCTAGCCTGGAGCCTGGGTGGCAGAGTGAGACCCTGTCTCAAAAAATAAAAAGAATTTTCTGCCACCCTGTAGTTTACAAAAGTGTTTCACAGTGATGATTTCGTTTGGTCCTCACGAAAACACTGTAAGTTAACAATTAAAACATATTTATTGAATATGAAGTGTTTTTATTTTGCTAAATCTTCACAAGTTTTGTTTTGTAGGTGAGGAAGCTGAGGCCCAGAGCATTTAAACAATTTGTCCACGGTTATACAGCAAGTAACTGGCAGAGACTGGGATCTGCAGTCTGACCCCTGACACATGTTCAACCGATGTCAGAGTTTATTTATTACCTCTGTTGTTCACAGGAAGAAACTAGGGGTATCTTAAAATCTTCTGACATCTCTAATGAGTGCCTGATAACTGAGAGAGGTCAGGGGCTGAGAGCCAATGATACCAAGACTCAGAGAGATCTAATTTAATTCTTTATCATTCAAGTAGAGAGACAGGCATTTTCCAAAGCAAACCCAACCCTCGTGATTATTTCTAGCCAGGGTGAAGCTAAGGAAGGTAGCAGTAGGTGGTAGGATCAGCACCTTGGTTCCAGGCATCACGCCAGTCATTTTATTTCCATCATCATCCTTGTGAAGAAATGGAAGTCTGGAGAGGTGAAATGATGAAGGCAATCTGGCCACAAATCTTCCTTCTGGATCCTGCTCTTCAGGGCATGCATCTCCCATGCTGAAGGTTAAAATGGGGGTCATTTGCCAACAAATTTGGGAGTCCGCTTCTCCCTGAAGGCTGCCATGCCCTCTAGCCGGTCCCGGGTTGGAATATTCTGCAACAAGGTACAAAATATTAGTTTTGGGGGAGCAGGGCCACAGGCCCAAAAAGAGTTGCTTAAGCTTGTCCAGCCCAAGACAAGGCCAGGGTCCAAGTGTTTCCATTGTCTCTGGACTCTGATCTTGAGGCATGCAAAGGTATAAGCCTCCGTGGCTGCTTTGTCTCCTGGGGAAGACAGGCCAGCCTTTGTATTCTCTGTGCCCCATCAGCATTAGCCTCCACTTGCACACTGCTTTCATGCCTCCTGAGAACTCAGCTGCCGTCTGCAGTGGTCTGACATGAGGCTGCTCAGTAGAGAAAAAAATTCTTTGCAGTAAGAAATCTGGCTTTGAATCCAGGTTCACACTAGTTTCTCCAAGTCCCAGGACCCCTTAGGAGTATTTTGGATATCTGTTAACGTGGAGATTAGCATTTTTTACTCACCCATGAGTAAGAGATTTAATAGGTCAGTCCCAAGTGTACAGCCCCTACATTGAACACAGCCTGCAGGCTACAACCAAGCCCTTGACCTCCCAACTCCATCCTGAACTTTACAGTGGCATCTGATACAGAGGCAAAAGATGTGGTTCTTCCTCTTAAGGACCTGTGTTCTGTGATTCTCGGCATTAAGTGGGCAGGATGAACCCCAGTACATTAGATGGTTGAGGGAAAAGTCCCAGAGAGAAGCACTATGGCTCTCCTCAAGCCACTCCAGGTGACTTATGAGGGACGATGGATGCGGTCAGACTGTTTGTGTTGAGAAGAACCTTCTAAAATTGGTCATGTACCATACAAAGTCCCTCTAGCCTGGCCCAGCCTATGTTAACAAGCAGGCATGGGCTGGTTGCTACATACCTGGGCATAGCACATCCCTTCAATGGCCATCCCAGATGCAATGTCCACCTGCAAGAAAGACGTGCTCCCTGGATTGGTCTGACCTTGTCCATCTTCACCCACACTGGAAGCCAGCCCACCCTATTGCCTACAGACATCTATATGAGCAGAGATAGCTATGAGAAGGAATTTCCCTCCTAGAGAAGAAACACCATTCGTAACTATGACAAAACTGCTGGGAGAAACGAGACAGACTGAGACATTTTGCCAGAGAAGAGGAGTTCTCCTTCCCATCCGGCTGCCTCACCACGCTTCCTGTCACCCGTTAATTTCTGAACCTTTATGACCTGGGCCCTGGCAATTGCTCCAGCCTCTAGGGCCCACTGACTGGCACTTGAAAGCCTCATTCTAAGAGAAGTACCATGTGTGTGTGAACTTAATTTTCACAGCAAGGGTTAGTATCCCTATTCTACAGCTGAGAAACCTGAGGCATAGAAAGGTGAAATAATTTGTCAAAGTTCACAACAGTATGTGGAAGAGCAGGTCTTTGAACCCAGACAGCCTAGTGCCTCGAACTTGCACTCTCTCTTCTTCCCTCACTCTCATCTGGACGAGCTGCTTGCTTATCCTCCTCTGTGCCTTTGCCCATACTTTTCCTCTGGAATTTTTATCCTTCCCACAGTCCAACTGTAGAAAACAGTCTTTAACCGAGCACTGCCCAGTATGGTAGCCACTAGCCGCATGTGAATGTCAAGCACGTGAACTGTGATTAGCGTGAAGGAGAAACTGAACATTTTATTTTATTTATTTATTTATTTATTTTGAGACGGAGTCTCGCTCTGTCGCCCAGGCTGGAGTGCAGTGGTGCGATCTCGGCTCACTGCAAACTCCGCCTCCTGGGTTCAAGCGATTCGCCTGCCTCAGCCTCCTGAGTAGCTGGGACTACAGGTGCCTGCCACCACGCCTGGCTAATTTTTTGTATTTTTAGTAGAGACGGGGTTTCACTGTGTTAGCCAGGATGGTCTCGATCTCCTGACCTCGTGATCGCCCGCCTCAGCCTCCCAAAGTGCTGGGACTACAGGCATGAGCCACCGCGCCTGACCACATTTTACTTTTAATTTAAAAGCCACACATGGATATCATAATGGACCGCAAAGCTCTAACCTTTCTGGGGTGTCAGCGTGGTACCATTATCCTTGATTTGTGTCTGTATCTGCCCCCTCCCGGGGGCAGTGACCATGTTTAACTCATCCATCTGTATCCCAGTTCCCAGCTTTGTTCTGGATTCAGTGTGTGATGAGTGACTAGATGGGAGAGTTGAGGTGGACAGATGGATTAACTAGATGGGAGAGTTGAGGTGGACAGATGGATTAGCCACACCCAAGGCATCACCCCAAGCCCTGCCCTGAGGCCACATTACTGCCAGCACAAATCTTGCAGCATGGACTGGCAGCCACACAGACCCGGGTTCTTTCTACTCACTTCCTCTGAGACCTTGGGCAAATCATTTACCCTTTCTTAACCTCAATCTCATCCTCTCTCCAAGGGAGAAAGATGAGGATAGAATGTAAACAATAATACTGTCTGGCCAATTTGCAGATGTGTAAACTGACGTAGAGCACGAGGTCAGAGTTCAAGTCTGTTAGAAGAGTCCACTTCCTGAGTTTTTCCCAGCTGTGCTGTCTGAGCTCTGAAAGCACTGTGTCCCAGCCGCGACCAACTTTAGTGGACCCAAGTCCCAACCCAAAACCCTCTCACCTCCGTTCCTCGGTCAATGGCTACTTTGCCCAGCCGCACGGCAATGGGGGCCTAGGGAAAAGCAAAAAGTCTTGGTTGAGGAGGGCATCAAGGCTGATAGTTGCAGGTCTGAGGTGCACAGCTTTGTTTTAAAGGAGGGAGGCAGATGTCTGGGTCTGGTTCCAGCCATTCTGCTGACAGTTTCTTTAGCGTTAGTCCTATAACCTGTTAGCTGAGGTTCTTTTTCTATCATGAAAGAAGCCAGACTCTGATCCCTGAACACCTGGGTTTCTTGTTATTCAGCCCATCCTTCCAACATGCACAACATAACTAGTTTACAAAGTGCTTTCCTCCCCCACAGACTCATCTAATGGTGCTACCCACACTTCTAGGCTGGTGTCATCACTGATGACCCAGCTGTGATTTTACAGCTGTGAGATTGCAGTGCAGGGAGGTGAAGCACTTGGCTGTGTTTATCCAATCATTGGTGAGACTTGGATTGGACTCCCAACCACCTTTCCCACTTCCTCGACCTCATTTCAGCAAATGCCAGCCTCTGCGGTAAGGTTTTACCCCAGCAGAGTGAAACAAAGTCAGGGTTAGGAACTTGGGCTTTCAAGTCGACAGGGCTGTGTTGAAATCCTGGTCTGTGGGGCAGTGCAGAGGGGCGGGTGCATTTTAATACAGCCACATAGAAGCAACAGTGTCTGCTTTGTCACTGGCCTTGGTTCCACACCAGCCCTAGCACTCCAGTCTCAGCCCCACTTCCAGGCAAGGAGGAATTACTTCCTATATCATATTATTTGAAGTGTTTATAAAACTTTCTCAGGAAAAGTCTCAAAAAAAAAAAAAACTGGGAAAAAGAATTGCAATGCTTATGACAGATGAATTTCCTTGATTTACAAAAAAGTTAGTATAAAGTAACTTTTAAACCATTTACAAAAGAGTATGTAAAAGGTCCACCGGAAAAGAAGTACGAACGTGAAGGATGTCCAGCAGCTGCTACACGCTTGAAAGGCAAATCAAAACAGTGAGGTACTGTGCCCTTTCACCTCAGACCAGCAAATACTAAAATATCAATATGCCTACTACTGCCGAGACTGGGGAAACCAGTATTTACATACATTATTGATAGAAAAGTAAAAGAGTATGCCACAGGAGAGCAATTTGGCAAAAACTGGCAAAATGCTGGTGTGCCTTTATAAAACAAAACCAAACCTTTGTTTTGTTTTATAAACGAAGGTTTATAAATGTTTTGTTATATAAAATGAAGGTTTTGTTTTATATTCTTCCATGTTTGAATTCCTTACTATGCATATTTAAATTTTGTTTTTAAAATTTGTTAGAAACAGATTAGCCTCGAAAGATATTTCTTGTCCTCTAAGCCATTAAAAGGAATTTATTTAAATATGTAAGCATATGTGCATAATACACGTCCTTCCATATGCAATGGAAATTTCTGGAAGAGTATGGAAACAATAGTGATGATCTGGGGAGAGAGAGGGATTGGGAAATGAAGGGCTGTTTGGGTTTGCTTGTGACTGAAGGGTTACTGGGATATGGGACTTCCACTTTTAAAACTGGGGTAGTCACAGGTAAACCAGGACTAGCTGGTCATCTTGCCTTTGATTTTTACCTTATGCCCTTCTTACTCCTCTGTTCTTTTAGATTTGCTTGCCATATGTGTTATTATTTAGGTAACTACCCAATAAAGGAAGTAATCTTGGCCAGGTGCAGTGGCTCACGCCTGTAATCACAGGGCTTTGAGAGGCTGAGGCAGGAGGATTGCTTGCCCAAAGAGTTTGAGACCAGCCTGGGCATCATCATGAGATCCCATCTCTACAAAAAATAAAAAATTAGCTGGGCGTGGTGACTTGCACCTGTAGTCTCAGCTACTCAGTAGTCTTAGGTGGAAGGATCACTTGGGCCTGAGAGGTCAATGCTCCAGTGAGCTGTGATCATGCCACTGCACTCCAGCCTGGGCAAAAGAGCCAGACCCTGTCTCAAAAATAAATAAATAAATAAATAAATAAATAAATAAAGTAACCTTTTATTAAAGTTAAAAACGGTATGTACGTATGTTTGTGAGTGAAAACAGCCAAATTCTAGCCAAGTCAGTAGCTTGCACCTGTAGTCCCAGCTATTCAGAGGCTGAGGTGGAAGGACTGCTCAGGCCCAGGGCTTCAAGGCTGTGGTGAGCTATGATCGTGCCACTGCACTCCAGCCTGGGCAACAGAGCAAGATCCTGTCTCTAAAAAGAAAAGAAAAAAAACACAGCTGAATCCATTTCTCAAAGTGTAATGTGTATTTACTATTTAAGAAGGAAATCTGATGCAAACTGTGGATATTGACAGTTTTTTTCTGGGCTGAGAAAACTCTGGAACCATTTGCTACCCTATCAGAGTGGTTTGTCCACTAGATGGTGGCCATCTACACCATCCCTGGCCCTCTCCTATCCGGAAACCTTTATTCTGAGCACCCAGTAACATAGGTGGAAGTTGAAGTTTTGTTTTTCAGGTTGACCCAGAAGGTCTCAACTCTGGGATTACTCATGCCAGTACTTGTTTTTGGTAGACTGGTGTTTTGGTATACAAAGCTACTTTTAAGTACTGAAAATATCAGTAATTATATAGTACCAATATTTTAGTATATTTGGAAATCTGAATTATTTTGTGATTGTTATTTAGTTAAGGCAAAAAGACAAACCCTATAGTCTACAGGTCTAGATATGAAAGCTGCAATCAGCCACTCCATTGAGTGACCCAGAGTTCTGTATTAGTTCGGAGACTTTCTAACCAAGTATAATAGAAACTTGACAGCATTAATATTGTCTAGGCAATAGCATCAGACTCTTCATTTATATATGATGAAGCTTAAAAAAAAAAAAGACAAATGCTTTCAAAAAGCTATAGTCCCTCACCTCCAAATTAAAGAAGATCTGTTTTAAGAAGTATTAGGATTATTTACATTTGAGAGACAGGAAAGAAAGGATTTTTGTTCAAAATTATACTATTTTATTTTATTAACAGAATCTTGCTCTGTCACTTGGGCTGGAGTGCAGTGGTGCGATCTCGGCTCACTGCAACCTCCACCTCCCAGACTCAAGTGATTCTCGTGCCTCAGCCTCCTGAGTAGCTGTAATAAAAGGCATGAGCCACCATGCCCAGCTAAATTTTGTAATTTTAGTAAAGACAGGGTTTTGCCATGTTGGCCAGGCTGGTCTCAAACTCCTGGCATCAAGTGATCCTCCTGTCTTGACCTCCCAAAGTGCTGGGATTACAGCAATGAGCCACTGCACCCGGCTTCTTTTCTGTTTTAATACAAATGAGGTCTCACTATGTTGCCCAGCCTGGTCTAGAACCCCTGGTCTCAAGCAGTCTTCCCACCTCAGCCTCCCAAAGTGCTGGGATTACAGGCGTGAGCCACCATGCTAAGCCAAAATGGTTACTTTTATATGATTAATTCAATATATGTCAATATTAAAATGATGTATGGTTAACTTTGTTTTGTGACATTTGTAAATTTTTGTATTTGAAATACATTAAATATTTAGTTTGTTTTTAAAATTTTGTACATATTTTGCTCTCTTAAAATACCTTTTTTATATTGCATTCTGTATTGTGCAAAATAAATGCCAAAATACCGGTGTTGTTTTTTTTTCTAATACTACAATCACTCTTTGTGACCTTGATGAACAAGTCACTGAACTTTTATGGGTTTTCTCACAGATAAAATGGGGATAATCAGTTCAACTGGATTATTCTAAGAGCTGAGATACTACATTAAGGTACCTAGCATTATAGGCTAAGACAAATTTATTATAAATTAGTCTAACTTAGCTCCATTTAAGCCACTTTTAATCTTTATGGAAATTTGGGATCTCCTGTACCCAACCCCCTGTATCCTGGGCCCCCTGAGAGTTGGGAGAAGCCAGCAGACCCTCGCAGGGCCTTGGATACCCCAGACAGCCAGATCCCAGATATCCCTGCTGAGGGCTTTGGGCCCTGCAGCTGGTAGGGTTGTACCTGGGCAGGGCCTGACCTGCTCCCTACTGAGCATGGTACCCTTTGGGGTACCATGCTGAGAGGTTATTGTTTGAGGATTTTTAATTTTTTTCTTTCAATAGATTTTAGGGAACAGGTGGCTTTTGGTTACATGGATACGTTCTTTAGTGGTGATTTCTAAGATTTTGGTGCACCGTACCCAACGTGTAGTCTTTTATCCCTCACCCTTTCCCATGCTATTTGAGGATTTTTTTAATGAGGGGTTTTTTGGTTGTTTTTTTTGGCTTTTTGTTTTTGTTTGTTTGTTTTTAGCAACGGGATTTTGCTTTGTTGCCCAGGCTGGAAGTGCAGTGGCGTGACCAGCTTACTGCAGCTTTGAATTCATGGGTTCAAGCAATGCTTTTTCCCAAATAACTGGGATTACAGGCTCGAACTACCACATCTGGCTAAAACATGAGCCTGGCCCGTCACGGTGGTTCATGCTTGTAATTCTAACACTTTGGGAGGCTGAGGCGGGAGGATCACTTGAGCCCAGGAGTTTAAAACTGCAGTGAGCCATGATTGCACCACTGCACTCCAGCCTGGATGACACAGCGAGACCCTATCTCTTCAAAGAAAAAAATGCTTAATACATGTCCTGTATGTTGTATTTCTTTCTTTCTTTCTTTTTTTTTTTTTTTTGAGATGAAGTCTCGTCCTGTCGCCCAGTGGAGTGCAATGGCGCGATCTTGGCTCACTGCAACCTCCGCCTCCCAGGTTCAAGCGATTCTCCTGCCTCAGCCTCCTGAGTAGCTGGGATTACAGGTGCGTGCCTCCACACCCAGCTAATTTTTGTATTTTTAGTAGAGACGGGGTTTCACCATATTGGCCAGGGTGGTCTTGAACTCCTAACCTCGTGATACACCCGCCTCAGCCTCCCAAAGTGCTGGGATTACAGGCATGAGCCACCCTGCCCAGCCCACATGTTGTATTTCAAGAATATCCCACCAGGCAGTATGGTAGGAAATATGGGTTGGAAGTTCTGTATCTATTTTAGAATCTTGCTTTTTCAGTCTTTGGGGGATTTTAAGGCTGTGCTATATAGTATAGTAGCCACAAGCCACATGTGGCTATTAGCATTTGAAATGTGGCTAGTGTGAATGAGGAACTGCATTCATTTTCTGCAATTTAAATCATTTGGCTAGTGGCTCCCATACTGGATAAGCACAAGTATAGAACATTTATCTCATCTCAGAATGGTCTACTGGACAGTGTTACATTCAGAGGGCTTTCAAGCCCATTTGGTTCCAGCCCTTTGGAATTCAATTTACATTTTAATTCAGAATTAAAATTTGACTTGATTGTGTTTACTGGATGGTTAAACAAACTCCAAAGAGGGTTAATCATATGTCTCTGGGAGAATGGATGTGCAGCCCAAGGGGACACCCTGCCCCACACATGCCTCCCCCATGACTCCAGCCCTCCTTCTGGTGCCGAGCTGTCACCACACCTGGGGCAGGATCTCCTGGGCCAGTGCTCGTGCCCGCTGGTAGGCGGCGTCCCCCTCCTCGTTCTGGGCCACAGCGTGATTCACCAGCCCCAGTACGTGGGCCTCAGTTCCACTCAGTCGTCGGCCCGTGAAGATGAGCTCCTTCGCCAGGGCCACCCCCAGACAACGGGGCAGCCTCTGAGTCCCTCCTACCAGGATGGAGGGAGCAGGGTGGGAATCAGCATGGGAAGTGGGAACCCAGAGAAGGCTCAGCCTGGGACTCAGCCAAGACTTCTCAGAGGAGCAGGGTTCAGGTGGGAGGGCAGAGCCCAGAACAGAGGGCAAAAAAGGAAAGCAGCGAAGGACCCTGGATGGGGTGGAATTGGGCGGGTGCTGTAGTTGCGATTACCTGCCCCCGGGAGGAGCCCTCGCGTGGTCTCAATCAGTCCCATGACTGCCGAGGAAGCTGCTCAGATAGAACAAAGTGAGGCCTCCCTCCCCCATCCGGTCCCCCAGTGCTAATCCCGGGGGCCACAGCTGCCTCTGCTGTCTACTCGCCCCTCTAGCCACTTGCCCCATGGTCTGGCCACAGCCAGGCCTCTCCAGACTCTGCCTTTGGAAGAGCCCTAGCCCAGAAGTCAGGAGCCCAGGCCCTTATTTCACCATGCCCCTTTGATGGAGTTGTAAGTCACCAGCAAGTCTCACCCTTCCCAAGCCTCAAAGGTGGAAGAAAGATGGCTGGCCCTCTTCTGTCTGCTTCAGAGAGCCGCTAAGGATCACACGAGGTACGACGCTTGGAACAAGGAGAGTTCCTAGGAGGTGCCCCATATCTATTTGTGGATTACTATTAATAGGTTCTCTGGCTTAGCCCTGGCCTGGCCTAGAATGTCAGTGACTCCTGCTCCTGCTACAGTCGTCCGTTCCAGCTTTGTCACAGCCTGAAATTGCCCTGACTGTTCCAGTCCATGTCCTCCTGAGTTCTGCTTCCTTCCTTCGAGAAACTTGCCTTGACTGACGCACCCCCCCGGGTCTGTCTCCTTTTCTGAATTCCCTCAGCATGGACCATGTGAACGTGGGCAGAAGGGAGTGGGTTTTACATTCACTCCGTCTTAGTCTTCCCCAAAACCCTGTGAGTTAGTTGCGTGAACGTGGGCATGTGAGAAGGAGAGTTGGGGCTAGACCAGCCTGGTATTTTGGTGCCTGGACACCTGGTCAGTTCCTTCTCTTTGACCTGCATTGTGTAGACAGAAGCTACTTTCATGCCTGGAGCTACACATTTTTATATGTT
This sequence comes from Homo sapiens, assembly GCF_000001405.40. Lineage (NCBI taxonomy): Eukaryota > Metazoa > Chordata > Mammalia > Primates > Hominidae > Homo > Homo sapiens. The sequence goes on from NC_000001.11 coordinate 52,905,913, forward strand.
GCTCCTGGGGTGGCAGGAGAGAGCGGTGGGGGGAGAAGGGAAGACATTCAGACTTTGCCTAACTGCATCCAAGAAGGCTGCTCCTAATCACCAGGTCAGTCACCTGAGAAAATGATCAGTTATCTTCTTTATCCCCTCCCATTCTTCAAACAAAGCTCAATTGCTCAGAACAAGTAATGCAAATTTGGCTGGTGCCAGTATTCCTGCCCAGGCACCTTTGTGATTAGCTCAGCCATTGACAAACTATCCCTGAGGCTCACCTTTTTCCGAAACATGGTCGATAAATCTGACTTGGACAGAATGGGAAGACTGGACATTGCTCTTTGACCTCCTTGGCTCGTAACAGCAATTGCTCTGAGGTTGGTCAAATATTCCCAAAATGAAGGAAGCAGGTTCTGACAGGTCACAGATACTACAGCAGCTAATGGCTGCACCAGGAGGGGAAGCAGCTTCTGCCTGAGCACCCTCTGTGCTCTGCCTTGCCTTAGTTTTGCTTTTGGTTGGAAGCCAAGAACAGTGGCTGACTGCAGAATGTCCAGACTCACCCTGTTTCACTCACCCCTGACTCCCTAGCCCCACCCCCTGCCCCCAGTCCTGGCCCAGTACCTGCCACTCGGAGGTCACAGGCCAGGGCAAGCTCTAGGCCTCCGCCCAAGGCAAACCCATCCATAGCCGCAATGGTGGGTGCAGGGAAGGCTGCTGTGGAGAGGAAGAAAGGCTCAGCCTGCAAAGCCCTGGTGGGACCAGGACAGAGACTCAAGGCTGGGGAGGGGCAAGCTGGTTGGGACAGAGGCCTCAGTGGACCCAGGTCTGGGGACATTACATGGAACCTCAGCCAGGTTATCTTAATTCTTTTTTTTTTTTTTTTTTGAGACGGAGTCTTGTTCTGTCACCCAGGCTGGAGTGCAGTGGCATGATCTTGGCTCACTGCAACCTCTGCCTCCCAGGTTCAAGTGATTCTCTTGCCTCAACCTCCTGAGTAGCTGGGATTACAGATGTGCGCCACCACGCCCAGCTAATTTTTTTGTATTTTTTTTTTTTTTTTTTTAAGTAGAGACGGGGGTTTCACCATGTTGGCCAGACTGGTCTTGAACTCCTGACCTCGTGATCCGCCCGCCTCAGCCTCCCAAACTGCTGGGATTACAGGAATGAGCCACTGCGCCCGGCCTCTTTTTTTTCCTTTTTTCTTTTTTTTTTTTTTTGAGATGGAGTCTCGCTGTTGTTGCCCAGGCTGGAGTGCAATGGCACAATCTCTGCTCACGACAACCTCTGCTTCCCGCAGCCAGGTTATCTCAGAAGCCAATTTTCCCTTTAGGGAAAGTTACAGAATCAGCCAGGGAAGAGGAATGGGAGGATGGGCTGGATGATCCCTGTTCAGGCCTAATCCGCTGGCCTCCCTGGGGCCTCCCTTTCTTTGTGCCAAGCCCTGTGCTGGGTGCTGGGAACTGGGAACACAGAATGAATCAGACATAGCCTTTGTTCCCATGGGGCTCAGTCTCATGGGGAAGACAAATGTGTATCAGGCATTATTGACCCAGGATCATCAGTGCTCCAATAAAAAGCTCAGAGGGTGGGTTGGGAAGGCTTCCTGGAGGAGGAGGTACTGGAGGGCTTGAAGGACAAGTAAAAGTTCAAGTAACCAAGAAGGGGTATCTCAGGCAAAGGTAACAGCAATTGTCAAAACTTGAAAGCATGCTTGGGGAAACTTAACTGCTTTGGAATGGCCAGGCTTGAACCCTGAGGGTGGGGCGGGACACAAAAGCTGAAGAGCCAGAACTCCCTCTCTGAGAGAACTGCCCTCGGTCATCCTCCTCCATCCCCCTGGGTGAGTCATCTGTCTTATCACAGAACTCCAAACAGAAAGAAGACTCTCCTTAGATGCTGGTGGGGGTAGCGGGACTGTCATCGGCAGGGACCCCCAAACCCCCTCCTCCACCCCACACCCAGATCCTCACCGATGTCATTCATCAGGCCCCGGAGTCGCTGGACAAACACCCCCACCTCTGCTTCACTCATCTGTTCCCGCTCCTTCAGGTCTGCACCTGCAGATGGCGAGGGTTGGTACCAGCCCTTAGGAAAATGGCACTTTACGGAATCCCAGGCGGTTAAAGGATCCAGCAAAGAAGACCTGAGGACAGGCAGCCAGCGAGGAAGGAGAAACACCAGGAACCCGGGCAAGGAAGTCAAGGGAAAAGAGGAGCATCAAACAAGGAGGGTGTGACACTGCAGAAAGGTGAACTGGACTCCATCAAAATGGAAACCTTCTGTGCATCAGAGGACACTATCAATAGAATACAAAGACAACCCACAGAAATGGCTGGGTGCAGTGGCTCACGCTTGCAATCTCAGCATTTTGGGAGGCCGAGGCAGGTGCATCACCTGAGGTCAGTAGTTCAAGACCAACATGGTGAAACCCTGTCTCCACTAAAAATACAAAAATCAGCCAGGTGTGGTGGCGGACACCTATAATCCCAGCTACTCAGGTGGCGGAGGCAGGAGAATCACCTGAACCCAGGAGGTGAAGGCTGCAGTGAGCTGAGATCGCACCAACTGCACTCCAGCCTCGGTGACGAGCAAGACTCCGTTTCAAAGAAGAAAAAAGAAAAAAAAGAAAAGACAACACACAGAATGGAAGAAAATATGTGTAAATCATATATCTGATAAAGGTTTAATATCTAGGATATATAAAGAACTTCTCCAACTAAACAACAAAACAACCCAATTCAGAAATGGGCAAAGGGCCAGGCGCAGTGGCTCACACCTGTAATCCCAGCACTTTGGGAGGCCGAGGTGGGCACATCACCTGAGGTCACGAGTTCAAGACCAGCCTGGCCAACGTGGTGAAACAGTGTCTCTACTAAAAATACAAGAATTAGCCAGGTGTGTTGGTGGGCACCTGTAATCCCAGCTACTAGGGAGGTTGAGGCTGAGGCAGGAGAATCGCGTGAGCCCAGGAGGCAGAGGTTACAGTGAGCCAAGATTGTGCCACTGCGCTCCATCCTGGGTGACAGAGTCTCAAAAAAAAAAAAAAAAAAAAAAAAAGGAAAAAGGACTTGAATAGACATTTCTCCTGAGGAGATACACAGATGGTCAATAAGCACTTGAAAAGTTGCTCAATCTCATCGTCATTAGACAAATGCAAATCAAAAACCACAATGAGATACTACCTCACGTCTATTAGAATGGCTTTTAAAACAAACAAAACAAAAAGTTGGCATGGATGTGGAGACATGGAACCCTGGTGCATTGCTGGTGGGAGTGTAAACCCATGCAGCTGCTGTGGAAACCAGTTCCAAAAAGTTAAACAGAATTACCATACAATTCTAGTCCCAAGTATATACCCAAAAGAGTTGAAAGCAAGGACTCAAACAGATACAGTCCCTCCTTATCCGTAGGGGACTGGTTCCAGGACCCCTCAGATACAAAAATCCATGGATGCTCAAGCCCCTTGTATAAAATATTGTAGTATTTGCAATATGACCTATGCTCATATATCCTCCTGTATACTCTAAGCCAGGGGTTCCAATCTTTTGGCTTTCCTGGGCCACACTGGAAGAATCGTCTTGGGCTACACATAAAATACACTAACACCAACGGTAACTGATGAGCTTAAAAAAAAAAAAAAAAACACCACACAAAAAAATCTTATAATGTCTTAAGAAAGTTTACAAATTTGTGTTGGGCCACATTCAAAGCCATCCTGGGCCACATGCGGCCCAGAGGCCGAGGGTTGGACAATGGACAAGCTTGCTCTAAATTGTCTCTAGATTACTTACAATACCTAATACAATGTAAATACTATGTAAACTGTTGTACTGTGTTGTTTTTATCTATATTATTTTTTGTTGTTGCATTGTTATTTTTGTTGTTAACATTTTCAATCTGCGGTTGGTTGAGTCTGTGGGTGCGGAACCTGCAGATGCAGAGGGCTGACGGTACTTGTACACCAATGTATTTGGGGACATTCTTCACAGTGGCCAAAAGTGAAAACAACCCAAGTATCTATCAACAGATGATTGGGTAAACAAAATGTGGTATATATACAATAGAATGCTACTCATTACAATAGAATGTTACTCCATAAAAAGGAATGGAGTTCTGACACTTGCCACAACTTGGAGGAACCTTGAGGACATGTTAAGTAAAATAAGCCAGGCACCAAAAAACAAATATGATATGATTCTACTGGTATGAGGTATTTAGAATAGATAAATACATAGAGACAAAGTACCATAGAGGTTACCCAGGCTGGAGGGGAAGGGGGAATGGGAGTCACTGTCTGAACAGGCTGAGTTTGTTTGGTATGATAAAGAAGTTCTGGGAATGGATAGCGGTGACATTGCACAATATTGTGAATGTACTTAATGCCACTCTGAATTGTACACTTAAAAATGGTTAAAACGGTAAATTTTGTGTTACTTATATTTCACCACAATTTCGTTTTTTTTTTTTTTTTTTTTTTTTTTTTTTTTTTGAGATGGAGTTGTGCTCTGTCACCCAGGCTGGAGTGCAGTGGCGTGATCTCAGCTCACTGTAACCTCCACCTCCCGGGTTCAAGCAATTCTCCTGTCTCAGCCTCCTGAGTAGCTGGGATTACAGGCACTGGCCACAATGCCTGGCTAATTTTTGTATTTTTAGTAGAGACGCGGTTTCACCATATTGGTCAGGATGGTCTCGAACTCCTGACCTCAGGTGATCCACACACCTCGGCCTCCCAAAGTGCTGGGATTACAGGCGTGAGCCACTGCACCCAGCCCACAATTTCTAAAATATGTAAGTAATAAGAAAATTAAAACTTGACTAATTTTTACAGGCAGAGTCAGCAAGGTCCAAGAAGGCTGAGAGGTCAAAGGTCAAGTAAACGAGAACGGAAGTGAGCACAAGATACGGTGGCATGCAGGTGGGCAAGCGCCTTGGCGGGAAGAGTGACCGTGGTGGGGTCCTCAAAGGCCAGATGCAGGGGTGAGCAGGAGTAGAGAGTAAATAGACTCTTCCAGTCCTAGACTACAGGAAGTCAGAGCTGGGAGAGCCTTTGGAAATCTTTGATCAGTTCCAGCCCTTCTGTGAGAGATGCGGAAACTGAAGCTCCGAGAGGGGCAGGAACTAGCCCAGGAATTCTAGAGCTGCAATCTCAGCTCACTGCAACCTCCGCCTCCCGGGTTCAAGCAATTCTCCTGCCTCAGCCTCCTGAGTAGCTGGGACTACAGGTGCCTGCCACCATACCCAGCTAATTTTTGTATTTTTTAGTAGAGAAGGGGTTTCACCATGTTGGCCAGGCTGGTCTCGAACTCGGGCCTCAAGTGATCTACCCGCCCCAGCCTCCCAAAGTGCTGGAATTACAGATGTGAGCCACTGTACCCGTCTTGGACTCCATTTTCTTATTTCCCCCGTGAAGGGTCAGAACAAAGCATGGCATAGCCGAAATAACTAAGATCTAAGGGTTAGAGAGGCCAAGTTCAAACTAAAGTCTATCCTACCCCTTACTAGCTATGTGATCCTAGGCAAGGGAATTTTCCTCCCTGAGTCTCTGCATTCACATCGGTAAAATGGCAACAATGAGTCCCATGCTGAAGCTGATCTAAGGTTTCCCCCAACCCCTGGAGGCTGGTGGGCACCCTGCAGAGCACAGATGGGGGCAGGAGAGAGAACCTACCTGCACAGAACACGCCCTTCACTCCACTTCTGAAGAGCAGGACACGCACTTGCCGGTCCTCCCGCAGCTGGGCCAGAGTTTCCAGCAGCTACAGAGGACACCCAGTTAGATAGTGCCAGCCCATCCCCAGCCCACCCTGGCGCCCGCCCTTTCTTACCTCACTGACGAAGACATTCCCCAAGGCATTGCGGGCAGAAGGTCTGTTCATCAGAATCTCAGTGATCCCTGTAAGGAGTCAGGGCAGCCACGGGAAAGCAGCTGGCTCTGCCTAATCCTGGGCTGCGGGCTGGGGACTGGAGGCAGGAGGCCTGGGATCTGGGGAGCCTCTGCCCTAGATGACCAGAGTGACTTGCCACAAGTCACACACTCAGGCAGGCCTCAATTTTCCCAACCATAAAATGGAGAGAAAAACCCTTGCTCTTTCTGCCTCAGAGAGAAAGTGGAAGGACTTGTAAACTGTGAAGCAAAATGGGGAGAGGAACAACAGTGACTACCACAGTAGCCCTTGCCTGCTTCTGCTGTTGTTAGACAGACAGACACACACACACACAAGCACACATGCACCCATGTACCTTCTTTAATTTTACAACTCCCTCCATATTCATCTTTTTTTTTTTTATTTTTGGCGGGGGAGAGTTTTGCTGTTTTTTTTTTTTTTTTAGACAGGGTCTCAACTCTGTCACCCAGGCTGGTGTACAGTGGTGTAAACATGGCTCACTGTAGCCTCAACCTCCTGGGCTCAAGCAATTCTCCTCCCTCAACCCCCAAAATAGCTGGGACTATAAGCATGCGCCATTACACCTGGCTAATTTTTGTGCTTTTTGTAGGAACGAGGTTTTGCCATCTTGCCCAGCCTGGTCTCAAACTCCTGAGCTCGAGCAATCTGCCCGCCTCGGCCTCCCAAAGTGCTGGGATTACAGGTTTGAGCCACCGCGGCCTTAATCTTTTCTTCACAGCAGACTTCTTCCTCTAGAGTTTGAGGAGTTATGATAAGGCAAATACCCTTATAACCACCACCCAAATCAAGAAATAGAACTGTGCCGGCCACCTCAGAAACCCCACCACATGCCCTGACTCAATCGTAGCTCCCTCCTTCCCCCTGAACAAGTAACTCTTTGACTTATAGTAATCACCTCTGTGTATTTCTTTATAATTTTTTTTTTTGAGACAGAGTTTCACTCTTGTTACCTTGGCTCACCACAACCTCCGCCTCCCAGGTTCAAGCGATTCTCCTGCCTCAGCCTCCGGAGTAGCTGGGATTACAGCATGTGCCACCACGCCCGGCTAATTTTGTATTTTTAGTAGAGATGAGGTTTCTCCATGTTGGTCAGGCTTGTCTCGAACTCCTGACCTCAGGTGATCCACCCACCTCGGCCTCTAAAAGTGCTGGGATTACAGGTGTGAGCCACCACACCCGGCCATTTCTTTATAATTTTATCACCCAGGTGTGCATCCTTAGGTATCATAGTTTAGACTTGCTAATTTCTAAAATTGCCGTGTATCTTTTAAATCCTGGTACAACCCCCACATGCTCCCCACAACTCTGTCTTTCCCTCAGAGATTATCTGTGGAGGAGCCTGGGGTATTTGACCTACAGGGTTTCTCAAAGCCTGGGTTTTGCTAACTGCACAATCACGGGGACAGATCAATATGCTCCTCTGTCACAATAAATTAGCAACTAAATACAGAGGCTTAGTGTTCTGTCCTGTTTGGCAAGACAGTAATCCTGGCCCTACTTGTGTAATATTCTTTCACCAGCAACAGCCAAGCTTCTTGGTAGTTTTCTATACTCATTTAGTCACTTTCTTACCTTCCATTCGCTCAAACCTTCTCCAATCTAGGTTCCAGCCCCATCACTCAGCAGACATTATTCTCATTAAAGTGATGAATATAGCCACATCACTAACCAAGGGACACGTTTCTCTCCTTGCCTCAACCTCGTGGCAGCAAAAACCTTTGCTGACATTAACACACTCCACTTGATCGTTTTCTGCTTTGGCTTCTTAGAAGAATATTTATTTGTTTATAAATAGATGATTTTCTTAGAGCAGTTTTAGGGTCACAGCAAAATGGAGTGGAAAATACAATTCAATACAGTTCACCTATACTCCCTGGCCCTACACAGGCACAGCCCCTTCCGCAATCCCCATCCCCCACCAGAGGCACGTGTTGCAACTGACGAACCTACACTGATGCACTGTCGCCACCCGGGGGCCCTAGTGTACACTGGGGTTCGCTCTTGGTGGTGTACACTCTGTGGGTTTACACAGATGCATAATGACACGTATCTGCCTTGGCTTTGGCAGGCCCCCATTCTCCTTCCTCCTACCTTTCAGGTGATGCCTCTGCACTCCTTCACTGCTTCTCTTCTGCCCAATTATTTTAAGTGCGTAAGTTCCTTAAGGCCAATCAGATTCTCTTCATTCACTCATTTGTACATTTATATATTTGCTGTGTGCTGGCCTCTACTAGACACCGTGATTCCAGAGACCAGGACAGACTCAAGGCCTGTCCTCATGGAACCTACAGCCTAGTGGGGAAGACAGACATTAAATAATTACTATTTGTGAGGAGAACTTGGAGAAAAAGGACAAACAAGTAAGGGGCCTCCAGTGGGCAGAGGGGAGCCCTAGTATAGAAGGTCAGCAATGAGTTATCAGAGGAGGCAGTGGCCTTTAAGCTGAGAGCTGACAGGAGAGTAGGAATTGGCCAGGCAAAAGATGTAAGAGTGCATGTGTGCATGTAAGTGTGCATGCATGGGTGCATATGTGAGCGTGTGCATGAGTGCCTGTGTGTGTGCATGCATGTTGGCAAGGTGCAGGGAAGGGGGCAGTCCAGGAGAGAAGCCTGTTGCAGGCAGAGGGAGTGGCAGAGAAGAGGGCCCAGGTGTGGGACTGCAGGGTGCCTTCCAGAACTGGAGGAGTTCAGGCAGAGGGAGAGCAGGATAAGCTGAGGCAGGAGGGACCTCCCTTCCACAGCTAACACACGCCTGCCTCCTGTACACCCAGGGCTCCCGTGTGTGCCCAGGAGCCCAGAGCTCTCCTGTGCACCCCAGGCCTGAATAGCCAAATGCCTACTTGATATCTCAACTGGTATGTCCTGCTCCATTGATGAGCCAATGACCTTGCTATCAACTCAGAAGTTGATCCTGTCACCTCGCTCTTACCTCACCTACAAAATGCACTCAGTCACTAAGGCCTGCTAATCCAACCTCTTAAAGAGATCTCAGGCCTCTCAGCTCACACCGCTTCTCACAGCCATTAATCTGGCATAGGCTCTTTCCTGCATCCCTCGGATCACCCACCTGGCCCTCGAGTCCTCAGTCTTGCTCCCTCCCAGCACACACACATTCGTTCCCACATTTGGGTCACAGTCATCTTTCTTACCCCAATCCGACCACGTCCCTCCCCTTCCCCCTTCTTTTCCTCAAAATAAAGTTCAACTCCTTAATACCGACCATAAGGCCCCCCCAATCTGACTCTTGCACCCACTCTGGCCCCAATTCACCCCCGCCATCTAGTCAGGGTGTGGGGAAGAGAGATGGGCTCTGGGAAGGAGCTCACACCCTTATCATCCCTTCTAGGCTGTTTCTCCTCCTACGAAAAATCAGGATGGACATTTCAGGTCTTCCCAGGGCTGAAATCCAGCAGGTGCCCAGAGGAGTGTTTCCCAATCCTTTGGCCTTCAAAGACCCCTTATTATTATCTCCCAGGGTCCTCAGCTTTGTCTGTAAACAAGCAGTGTTTATGAAGTTGGCATTCTCAGTTTAAGCTGATCAGAGACACAGAAAGGCCAATGAAAGTTTCTGGGCTCTCAAGGGACAGGGTGTTCAGCCAGGAATTACAGAACTATGGCTAGGGGCAAAGAACTGTAACATTCAGGCAAACTGGACTTCCTTAGCCTCCCCAGAAACCTGCAAAGAGCTCTTAGAGCCCAGCAGGTCTGGAGGCTCCAGAGAGGTGTGCAGATGGCCATAAGGTCGCTTCCAGCTCCAGTGCTCCAGGAGAGAAAATGGGGCAACTCTGGAGAAGGGAGACTGCAGTGGATAGAGAGATGCCAGATCAGGAGGAGTCAAGGACCCTGACCCCCACAAACTTCAGAGCAGTCTAGATCCAAGGTCCCCAGAGTGGCCCTCATGTTTACATCCTGAATAATCCCCTCCCTTGCATGTGGGTGGGACCTGTGAATTGCTTCTAAGCAATAGTATACAGCAAAGGTTATACAATGTTACTCCTGAGATTAGGTTAAGTTATATGGTGAAGGTAATGTGACTTCTGTAATTCGGTTATAGTATATAAAAGGCTCTGTCTTATTAGAGACACTCATGGGCCTAACGAGAGGGTCAAGTAGCAAAGGACTGCGGGCAACCTCTAATTGCTGAGAGTGACCCCCGGCCAACAATCAGCAAGAGAACAGGACTTCAGTCCAACAACCATAGGAGGTGAATTCAGGTCTCAGCAACCTGACGACCTTGGAAGCAGATCTTTCCCGTCAAGCCTGGGATGAGACCACAGCCCTGGCCAACTCCCGACTGCAGCCCAGCCTGGCAAGACCTGAAGCAGAGAACTCTGCTAAGTTGTGCCTTGACTTCTGACGTACAGAAACTAAAAAATGATAAATGTGTGTGACTTTGAGTATCAAAGTTTGTGATCATTTGTTAGGTAGTAATAGAAAGCTGATATAGCCGTGGTATCCTGGGACTGGCAGACACTCCTCTCTCTGCTTTCCTGTTCTTTCCTTCCATTCTCTCTGGCTGACTGTCTCTCATCTTTCAGCTTCATCTCCTGTCTCCACCTACATCTCCCTCTCGGAATACTGACTGTCAACTCTTACAAGCCCTTAGCTCAAGCCACAACTCAGCCACACACCAGCCCCATGGCCTTGGGCAAACCACTTTACCCTTCTGGCCTTCAATTTCCTGATCTGTAAGAGAAATAATAAAAAGGTTATTGTTAGGATTAAAAGAGATAATGCATTTAAGTGTCTAACCAGAGTTTGTGTAAAACGCCCAGATACTAGGGCAAGTCTCGGACCTAATACAGTATCTGAACTTTAAGCTGGGAGCCCCCCAGGAGCCAGGCAGGGTGTCTTTGGCTGCCGACATTCAATTGTGCAACATTTAATTTGCACTACCACATGCCAGGTCCTGGAGAAATGGACAGTAATCAGCCAAGGTCCCTGTGTTCTTAGTCTAGCCCCGATGCTGGGAACATTGCCCTTCTGACCCCAACAGCGGGGATGGGGCTGTGCTGCACCCTTCCCACTCTTACCAAACCTACCATACCACTGAGCAGCTGACCTAGGATCACTTCTGTCCAGATGGCTTGGGTCACAGGCGAGGTGTTGTGGGTAGAAGTCAACAGAAACCACTAGAAGGGCCAGGCGTGGTGGCTCACGCCTGTAATCCCAGCACTTTGGGAGGCCGAGGCGGGTGGATCACCTGAGTCAGGAGTTCAACACCAGCCTGACCAACATGGTGAAACCCCGTCTTTACTAAAAAGACAAAAATTAGCCAGGCGTGGTGGCACACACCTATAATCCCAGCTACTTGGGAGGCTGGGGCAAAGAATCGCTTGAAACCAAGAGGCAGAGGCTGCAGTGGGCCGAGATCACGCCACTGCACTCCGGCCTGGGCAACAGAGTGAGACCATCTCAAAGAAAAAAAAAAAAAAAGAAACCACTGAAGGGTAGTGTGGAGAACAACTGATTTAACAACACTTTACTATACAGAAGAGGAAACTGACGCCCGGAAACAAGGAGGATTTGCTCAAATAACAGCTGGACCCAGCTGGCAATCCTGACTCTTAAAGAGCTAACAGCCTAGAAGAGAGACAAGTTCAGACACACGAAACATAAAAGGACAGTGTGGGGGACGGAGCAGCAGAGCAGGGGAGTTCCAAAAAGATTTCCATAAGCAGAAAGGAAGGAAGAGGAGCCAAGTCAGGGCACAGCTAGAGCAAAACACAGAGGTAACACACCTTCAAATGAGCCCATGGGTAGAGGAGGGAGGATGGAAAGGTCAGCTTGTGGTGGAGAACCTTAGTGCCCAGCTAAGGAGTTGAAGGACAGCCATTAATTACAGTCATGCACAGCATGATGATGTTTTAGTTGGTCAGCTACAGACCACATATAAGACATATAAGTCCCATCAGACTCTAATGGAGCTGAAAAATTCCTATTGCCTAGTGACACCATAGCTGTCATAACATCATAGCGCAATGCAACACTCAAATGCTGGTGGTGAGGCTGGTGTAAACTAGCTTGCTTTACCAGTTATACAAAAGCACAGCACATACAATTAGGCCCACAACATAATACTTGATAATGATAATAAAAGACTATGTTTTAGGTTTATATATTTACAATATTATTTTTACCATTATTTTAGAATATACTCCTACTTTTTATTTTTAATTTTTTTGAGACAGGGTCTTACTCTGTTGCCCAGGCTGGAGTACAGTAACACGATCATGGCTCACTCATGGGTTAAACACCTTTGGGCTCACTTGCAAATATCAGGAATCCTTGATATTGGACAGCCTTGACCTCCCCGGCTCAAGCCATCCTCCCACCTCAGCCTCCTGAGTAGCAGGGGCTACAGGTATGCACAACCATGCCTGGATAATTTTTGTATTTTTTTGTAGAGAAGGGGTTTCACTATGTTTCCCAGGCTGGTCTCAAACTCCTGGGCTCAAGCAATCTGCCTGCCTCACCCTCTCAACGTGCTGGGATTACAAGAGTGAGCCAGGTGAGCCACTGTACCTGGCCTGGGCCGTGTGTACTCCTACTTATTAAAAAAAAAAAAAAAAAGAAAAGAAAAAAGTTCAGTGTAACACAGCCTCAGGCAGGTCCTTCAGTAGGTATTCCCGATTGTTATCATAGGAGATGGCAGCTCCATGCACGTTATCGCCCCTGAAGACCTTCCAGTGGGACAAGATGTGGAGGTGGAAGACAGTGATAGGTCTAGGCTCGTGTGTGTGCTTGTGTCTTTGTTTTTAACAAAAAAAGTTTAAGAATTAAAATTTTTAAAAGCTTATAAAATAAGGATCTAAAGAAGAAAACATTTTTTGTACAGCCGTACAATGTGTTTGTGTTTTAAGCTGAGTGTTACTACAAAAGAGTCAAAAGTTGAAAAAATTAAAAAGTTTATAAAGTAAAAACAGAGTAAGCTAAGGTTAATTTATCATTGAAGAAAGAAACATTTGTAAAGCAAATTTAGTGTAGCCTAGGTGTACAGTGTTATAGAGTCTATAGTAGTGTACAGTAATGTCCTAGGCCAGGGGTCCCCAACCCCCGGGCTGTGGACCCATCCCAGTCTGTGGCCTGCTAGGAACTGGGCCACACAACAGGAGATGAGCAGCTTCATCTGTATTTACAGCAGCTCCCCATGGCTTGAATTACCACCTGAGTTCCACCTCCTATCAGATCAGTGGTGGCATTAGAATCTCATAGGAGTGCGAACCCTATTGTGAACTGTGCATGTGAGGAATCTAGGTTGTTGCGAGCTCCTTATGAGAATCTAATGCCTGATGATCTGAGGTGGAACAGTTTCATCCCCAAACCATCTGTCCGCCCGCAAGTCCATGGAAAAACTGTCTTTCATGAAAATAGTCCCTGGTGCCAAACCAGTCCCTGCTGTCCTAGGCCTTCACATTCACTCACCATTCACTCGCTGACTCACCCAGTGCAGCTTCCAGTCCTGCAAGCTCCATTTATGGTAACTGCCCAGTACAGGTGTACTATTTAAAAAATCTTTTAGACTGTATTTTTACTGTGCCTTTTCTATGTTCAGATACACATTTACCATTGTGTTACAGTTGCCTACAGTATTCAGCCCGGTACCATGCTGTCCAGGTTTGTATTCTAGGAGCAACAGGCTATACACCATGTAGCCTTGGTGTGCAGTAGGCTACCCCATCTAGGACTGTGTAGGTGCACTCTGTGATGCTCCCACAATGACCACAATCACCTAATGATGCATTTCTCAGAATGTAGCCCCGTTGTTAAGCAACACATGACTCTATGAGAAATAAAGCCGCTAAGAACAGTGAAGAATGGTTTACCACCCAACCTCAAGCTCAAAGGCAGCAGGTAAAATGTAACAGTGCTCTTGTGCCATCAGCCCCAGTGGAAGGCAGAACCTGCAGCTTCTAATATGAACATCAAATGACCCCAACTCATTCCCTGTGAGGGCTCCGTGTGTGATCTCATCCCCATGCCTCCTCTGCACTGTCATCTTGGTTTCTGTCTCTCCTTCTCTCACTGCCTTTTCCTGCCCTTTGAGCCCTCTGGCAGGGGCAGAGGCTTAATCTGCTGATCCTTGTCATTCTTTTTTGGATAAAATGATTCCCGATATTTGCAAGTGAGCCTAAAGGTCTTTAACCCATGATAATTTTGTGTTTACACATGTACAAGTCTGTATTTTGAGTCACTGAATTACTAGAAGAGCCAGTGATTACCTAATGGTTGAGAACACAGGCTTTGAAATCAGACCTGGTTCAAATAACTTAACCTTCTGTGCCTCAGTTTTTTAATCTGTAAAGTGGGGAGAATAATCTTGACTGTCTTAAGAGCTGTTGCCAGTTGGGTAGTGAACTAAGCATGAGATTGGGGGTATAAGGTTCAGCAATATTAACTGTTCAAGGAAATTCTCACCAAGTGGTGCAGTGGGACTCTAGGTGGCCTGTCCGTGTCCACTGAAGGTGGTAGATGCACACTTGGGAACAGTGGGCAACAGCAGGGAGCAAGGAACTGGATTTTATGGCAAAGCCCCGCTTCAAACTTGTTGTCAAGCCGGTAAAAAGGAAGCAATACTGCTGGGGAAGGGGCGGCAGGCGCCATGTCCGGCCACGAAGGTGGCAAGAAGCCACTGAAACAGCCCAAGAATGCAGGCCAAGGAGATGGACGAGGAAGATAAGGCTTTCAAGCAGAAACAAAAAGAGGAGCAGAAGAAACTCGAGGAGCTAAAATGGAAGGCCACGGGGAAGGGGCCCTTGGCCACAAGTGGAATTAAGAAATCTGGCAAAAAGTAAGCTGTTCCCTGTGCCTAAGGAGATGGTGACCCTTTATTTCATCAGTATTTAAACCTCTCTATTCCCTGCCATAACATCTTTTGCCACCTATGGCTGGAATTAAGTGTTGTCTTGGAGCTGTTGTACATTTAAGAATAAACTTTTGTTAAAAAAAAAAAAGAAGCAATACAACGAAATGTACAGTACAATGCCATCTGTGTATCAAATGCAGGAGACAGGGGATGAGATGCGGGGAGGAGACCCAAGGCAGGAGAAGCGCCTAGCCCTGATGGTTACCAGCAGAGGACTGAGGAGCGTTATCAGCACCACTGAATGCTCCAGAAGTTCAAACAACAACAACAACAAAAACGCAACACGCGATCAGAGGCGTTTTCTGCCAGTGACCCGCGAACTTTGCCCCCCACCCCTCGTCCCCGCTCCATACTATCCTTGATCTTGGCCAAAAGGCGGAGAAACAGCGAACTTTTCCCTGGAGCCAGAAGGACGCAAAGGTTCGCTAGCGGCCCAGGGCGGGCGCGCGGCTGGAGAGGCACCCTCCTCACTCTGCCCGCTGCCGCACTGGGCACTGGGACTGGCTCCGCTGCCTCCGCCCCCGAACCGGGCCAGGACCCTTGGCGGGGGAGGGGAACGCGCACTTAAACGCTCCTGGCCTGGGGGCCGCGGGGCCCAGTCCTACCCGTGCGGACCCCGCTCCCCCTTCCACACAGTCGGAAGACCCCAAAGGGCCTTTGAAGAGACCGAGGTTGCCAGAGGCCCCCCGCCCCCAGCTAGAGTCTGGAGCCACTAAGGCGGCCGCCCACCTCTCAGGCCTGGAGCGGTTTGGGGCGCCTAGAACTGGGAGGGAGGGACTGGGGATCGAATCCTTCAACGCACTGAGCGGCCCACCTGCCGGTCCCCCGCTGCCTCCGGCCTAGTCCCAGTCGCGTCATGCGCCGCCCCGGAACTGCACATTTACCTTGGTCCGGACCCGCCAGGGCGCGCACTTGGATCTCTGAGCCCCCGGCCGCCCCGTCGGAAGCGCAGCCGCGGGCCCGAAGGGGCCTCCAGGGGCGCAGGAGGCACAGAACGCGCAGCATCGGGGCGCAGGCTGGGAGTGAAGGTGCTTCTCCGGCCCTGCACCGTCTCGGCTCCCGCTGAGAGCTCGCAGTTCCGGCGTCGGGCGAAGCCTTCGCCAATTGCTCCACCTATGGGCCAAGCGTCTGTTGCCTCCTTCCGCACCTCCCGGGGACAGGGAGACTTGAGCGGAGGAGGTCGGGGGAAGCCCAGCTCCTCTGTGTGATTTGGTGTAACTCTGTCAACCTCCCAGCGTCAGTGTTTTAATCCTGTAAAATGGGGATAATAGTGACTACCCCGTGGTGGTGTGAAGATTAAATGGGGTGTGTGAACCTTGCTTGCACATATGCTCAATTTCATTTTTTAAATGAAATGACATTTAATGAGTCCCTTGAGCGTGTCTACACTTGCGAACCTCACTGCTTCACCTCCCATTTGCGCCTCACTTTTTTTTTTTTTTTTTTTTTTTGAGACGGAGTCTCGCTGTGTCGCCCAGGTTGGAGTGCTGTGCCTTGATCTTGGCTCACTGTAACCTCCGCCTCCGGGTTCAAGCGATTCTCCTGCCTCAACCTCCCAAGTAGCTGGGATTACAGGGACGCGCCACCACGCCCAACTAATTTTTTTTGTATTTTTAGTAGAGGCAGGGTTTCACCATGACGAAACCCTGTCTCTGTTAAACATTCAAAAAAATTAGCTGGGCGTGGTGGCGGGCGCCTGTAATCCCAGCTACTTGGGAGGCTGAGGCAGGAGAATCACTTGAACTCGGAAGGCACAGGTTCAGTGAGCTGAGATCGCGCCACTGCACTCCAGGCTGGGCAATGAGCGAAACTGCGTCCCAAAAAAAAAAATTATTCTCTTAAACACAGTATATACAAAGCACTCTCACATTGCTGATGTGAATGTCTTTAAATGAAAAGCAACTGGTAATTTATATCAAAATTATAAATGCACAAGCTCATTGCCCCAGAAATTCCAATTTTAGAAATTTAACCTACAGATAAATCCACACAGCTGTGAAATGACACGTGTTCATGGCTGTACATTGCAGCATTGTTTATAATAGCAAAAGACTGGAAGCACATGGTGCTGTCATGTGCTTCTGGTGAGGCCTCAGGAAGCTTACAATCATGGCTGAAGGTGACAGGGATCCAGCATGTCACATGGCGAGAATAGGAACAAGAAAATTAGGTGGGGAGGTCCCAGTTTATCGCCAAGGGGATGGTGCTAAACCATTCACAAGGGATCTGTCCCCATGATCCAGTCACCTCCCAACAGGGCCCACCTCCAACATTGGGAATCATATTTCAACGTGAGATTTGGAGGGATCCAACACCCAAACTATATCACAGTCTCAATATCCATCAATAGAGGGTTGGTTAAATAAATTATGGGGCTGTGTGTGGTGGCTCACCCTATTATTCCAACACTTTGGAAGGCCAAGGCAGGTAGGTCCCTGGAAGCCAGGAGTTTGAAACCAGCCTGGGAAATATAGCAAGCCCCTATCTCTACTTAAAAAAAAAAAAAAGGTACATCAATAATCTGAATACTATGCAGCTATAACAAAACACAGGAAACTGTTTATGCATTGATATGAAACAATCTTCAAAATCTATTGGTATATGAAACAAGTCAAAATGCAGAATAGTGTGTAAAGAAAGCTAAAATTTGGCCGGGTCTGGTGGCTCATGCTCATGAACCTAGCACTTTGGGAGGCCGAGACAGGAGGATTGCTTGAGGCCAGGAGTTCAAGACCAACCTAGCCAACATAGCAAAACCCCACCTCTATTGAAAGAAATAATAAAGAAAACAAAAATTTGTGTTAACAAGGGGGATAAGAGTATGCATGTGTATATTTGATTGTATTTACATAAAACATCTTTGGAAGGATAGGGAAGAAGAACCGAGAGGCTGGGAATAAGGGTAAGAGAGACAAGTTTTACGGTTTGACCTGTTATACGTTTTTGGACACAGGATGTTGTTGTTGCCCAGATTGGAGTGCAGTGGCAGTATCTTGGCTCACTGCAGCTTCTGCCTCCCGGGCTCAGGTGATCCTTCCACCTCACCCTCCTGAGTAGCTGGGACCACAGGTACATGCCACAACATTGGCTAATTTTTGTATTTCTTGTAGAGACGGGGTTTTGCCATGTTGCCAAGGTTGGTCTCGAACTCCTGAGCTCAGGCGATTTGTCCACCTTGGCCTTCCAAAGTGCTGGGATTACAGGTGTGAACCACCATGCCTGGCCCCTTTTATACTTTTTGAATCTTGATTTTTGTTTTAAGTATAACTTACTCAAAATAAATAATGAAAATGAAAACAAAGCACAATAACAAAAATTAAAAACATGCCTTAGCAAAAATAAAACTAATATATACACAAAATCAAAACATACAAACTAGCCAGGCCCGGTGGCTCATGCCTGTAATCCCAGCACTTTAGGAGGCTGAGGTGGGTGGGTCACCTGAGGTCAGGAGTTCAAGACCAGCCTGGCCAACATGGTGAAACCCTGTCTCTACTAAAAATACAAAAATTAGCCAGGCGTGGTTGTGGGCAGCTGTAATCCCAGCTACTCAGGAGGCTGAGGTGCAAGAATCGCTTGAACCCAGGAGGTGGAGGTTGTAGTGAGCTGAGATCACACCACTGCACTCCAACCTGGGCAACAGAGTGAGATTCTGTCTTAAAAAAAAAAAAGAAGCAAAAACAAAACATACAAACTATAATTGGGTATAAGATTAAAAGAAAAACCTTCCCTCCTCCATATTCCATGCATTTATTGTATTCTATTTTATTGAGACAGGGTCTCACTCTGTTGCCCACATTGGAGTACAGTGGTGCAGTCAGTTCACTACAACCTCAGACTCCTGGGCTCAGGGGATCCTCCCGTCTCAGCCTTCCGAGTAGCTGGGACTACAGGAGTGGGCCACCACACTTGGCTCATTGTTAAATTTTTTGTAGAGACAGAGGTCTCCCTATGTTGCCAGGCTGGTCTCAAACACCTGGCCTCAAGTGATCCTCCCACCTCAGCCTCCCAAAGTGCTGGGATTACAGGTGTGAGCCCCCATGCCTGGCATCCACCCATTTAAAAAGATTTTTCTTGTTTTTTCTTCTTTTTTTTTAGAGATAGGGAGCTATGTTGCCCAGGTTGGTCTTGAATTCTTGGGCTCAATCAATCCTCCCATTTTGGCCTCCCAAAGTGCTGGGATTACAGGCATGAGCCACTGTGCCTCGCTGCTTTTTGTCTTTTTGTATTAACAGAAAAGGTCTCACTATGCTGTCCAGGCTGGAGTGCAGTGGCTATTCACAGGCATAATCGTAGCTCACTGCAGCCTTGAACTCCTGGACTCAAGCAGCCTTTCTGCCTCAGCTCCTCAAGTAGATGGGATTACAGTCTCGTACCACCACACCCAGCTTAAAATGATATTTATTGTATTTTATCTGGCATTTCTGGGTGTTTTTTTTTGGTATACTTATTCATGCCACAAAGTAAGTGGTACTTATATAAGTGTACAGTGATTTTCCAGGTTCCTTTCTAACATAGCTTGCTTAAATTCACAGGTCGACTAATGTTTCATTTCATGTGCATGCTAAGTGAAGCTGGTTAGTGATGACCATAAGCAGGTGGAGAAGCTTTCAATATTTTACTTATTTTATCAGTACTCCTGATTTTATAAATGATGAGGCTCATTAACCCCATTCCTACTCAAATCTCCTGATAAACTTGGTTATAATAGGGCTTCATGGGGATCCAAACATTTTTAATAATGTTTTGAAGCATCTTGGTGTGGGACAAACAGCTCAGGCTACCCCAGAGCCCCACATCCAATGACTTAGAAAAGTCTGTGTTTTATAGTGGGAAAAGTTTGGATTATTTAGTCCTTCACATTGGAAAGGGAAGTGTTTTTTCTCAGTCTTTTCGGTATTAACAAATACCTTTTATATTACTATCTATCCCCTCTGCCCTCTATGGACTCTTATTTTGAAAGCAATATCCAGTGGACAGCCAGGATTTGTTACATAACAATTAATCTTGACCTTAGGACTTGTTGTTCTATTAGGTTGGTAACTTTGTCTGATCCACCAATCATATTGCTGTCTTGTCAGTCCATCAGTTTCAAGAAACAACTGTACATGTCAGTGCCCTGATTTGTGTTTGTTTTTCTTTTTTTTTTTTTTTTGTTTCGTTTTGGTTTTTTAGAGACGTGGTCTTGGTATGTTGCCCAGGCTGGAGTGCAGTGGCTATTCAGAGGTGTAATCATAGCACATTTGTAGCCTTGAATTCCCAGGCTCAAGTGATCTTTCTGCCGAAGCCTCCTGAGCAGATGGGAGGCGTGCATCACTGAGCGCAGCAATTTTACTAAGTTGGTCTAGTCCTAGCTCAGTAGTTCTTTACTTAGCACAGAGGGGGCTTCTTAGAATCTCCTAAACTTGATCTTAGCCAAATGGCCAAGAAGCAATCCTTAGAATCTTCTAGGAGAGCCTTTCTAAATGCTGATACTGCAAACCGAAAAGTATATGAAACGGATCTCAATTAATTTAGAAGTTAATTTTGCCAAGTTTAAGGACGTGCATCATCTTTGGAGACAGGTCCGTGCCTTTCTCCAAAGATGATTTTGAGGGCTTCAGTTTTTATAGGGGAAGGGGCAGATATTGGGGAAAGATGAATAAATTTTAAAAAGATGTGGGTAGATAAGAGGCAAACGGTTGCATTCTTCTGAGTCTTTGATCAACCTTCACATGTGAGGGGGGTAGAGAAATAGTCACTTATGCATTCATCTAGCTCAATGAATCTGCATTTTTACATAAGATAAAATAAACCGGGGAGCCGGGCGCGGTGGCTCACGCCTGTAATCCCAGCACTTTGGGAGGCCAAGGTGGGTAGATCACCTAAGGTCAGGAGTTCCAGACCAGCCTGGCCAACATGGCGAAACCCCATCTCTACTAAAAATACAAAAATTAGCGGGGCGTGGTGGCGCGCGCCTGTAATCCCAGATACTCGGGAGGCTGAGGCAGGAGGATTGCTTGAACCTGGGAGGCGGAGGCTGCAGTGAGCCGAGTTCGCGGCATTGCACTCCAGCCTGGGCGACAGAGCGAGACTCCGGTCTCCAATAAACATGGAAGGCTGTTTCTCCCCGGTTTGCTGGAATAAAGTCTCTGTCTTCCAAATTCCTTTTCGGAGAACTTTTGTTCACAAGATTAAAAAGGTCACGCAGCTGGTGACGGAGCCTGGGTTTTTTGATTTAGACATTGTATCCATGTGTGAGATCCTGCCCATCCCCGCTTTCTTGGTGTCCTGTGAGTTTAAATTCATGAATTCACTCTCAACTGCCACCGCTAACAGGACACAGGCCAATTCCAACACGAACCCCAACGGCTCTCCTCAGGGTCACCTTTCATGAGTCCGCTTTCCGGCCAACCCCTCCTCTCAGTCTTAGGCCCCACTGCAAGCCTACTCCCGCTCACCGTACAGAACCTAAGCACAGGATCAGAGATGGGGACAGGTTGACTCAGTCCCATGCCCAAGTCCGCAAATTAGGGATTCGGCTGCCTAAGGGCTAGAGAACGCTCCCCGCCCCACAGGACGCGCCCCACCCCGCCCCCTCCTCCTGCCCCTACGCACGCGCACTCTCACGCGCCTGTGTTGCCGCCCGCGGCCCTGGCTTCGGGCTTCAGGGAGCTCTGGTGCAGTCTCCGCCTGTCAGTGCCGGCAGTCGTCCGCGGCGCCCGCCCCGGTCCCGCACTGGTGCAGCCATGTCCTCTTCCCCGTGGGAGCCTGCGACCCTGCGCCGGGTGTTCGTGGTGGGGGTTGGCATGACCAAGGTAAACCGAGCAGCGGCCCTGCTGGCCCTCTGAGGCTCGGGGGCGGTCGGTGCCTGGGTTTCTCTGTCCCTCCGGTCTCCTAGCTTCGACTGCTCCGCGCGTGGGTCATCGGCGTGGCGACTTGGTGGCTTGTACTCTGCGGAATCTCTGGGGTCATAGCGTCTCGGGCTGGTTCCTGCGGCCTTCTGCTTCCTCCTTCCCTTTTCTTCTGGTCAGAGTTCATGAAGCAGCCCCGAGATAATCCAAGGATCTCACCTCTTTAGATTCTGAGCGGAGTCCCGAGGTGTGTGGGCTGGCTTGCCCCGGAGGGAGGCAGGTCGCGAATGCCGCCTGCTCGGCCCTCCCAGGAACAGCCCCCACAGGAGCCCTCACAGAGACAGCTCCAGATGTGGATGGCGAGGAGAAACGCTCCTGATGCCCAGCGCCTCGGCCCGAGTGGCAGATTCCGGCCTCCCTCTGTCCCTCCAGTGACTGCTTGGGACCCGGACGCCGCAGGCTCCCACGGCCGTTTTCCCCTCATCGCCCGCATGCTCCTTAATGCCAAACTGCCTTTCGTTTCTCCCCGGACGCAGTTGTCTGATGCCTCTGTTGCTTTGCTTCTGTTCTGTTTGTACCGTGTATCTTCACCTGTTAACTTTTGTGCATCCTGAAAGGATCCGTTCAGATCGGATCTTCTCCAGGACGCCTCGGATCCTCCTGACTTTCCCCTAGAGCCTTGCACTGTGCTTACCTCTGTCCTGCACTTACTGTGCTCGGCAGTACCGGGCAGTACTAAAGCTCATAGGCGTCTGCGCGCCCTCTTAGCATGGCAGCTCCTCTAGACTGGGTACCTGGCTTATTCACTGCTGTGCCCCTCGCCCTGAACGTTCCTGATGCTTGAAGACCCTCAGTGAATGTTAGTTGAACAATACTAAATGGATATGCTTTGTGAAAGAGTTCCTAGGGAGAGTTCTATTTCTGAGAAAACAGCCCTAAAATGTTTATTATTTTACCAGTGGGCTGAGCGTACCTAATTCAGTCCAACATGTAAATAGGCCGGGGCCGGTGGCTCACGCCTGTAATCCCAGCACTTTGGGAGGCCAAGGCGGGTGGATCACCTGAGGTCAAGAGTTCGAGACCAGCCTGGCCAACATGGTGAAACCCCGTCTCTACTAAAAATACGAAAATTAGTCGGGCATGGTAGCACACGCCAGCTACTCGGGAGGCTGAGGTGGGAGGATTGCTTGAGCCTGGGAGATGGAGGTTGCAGTGAGCTGAGATCACGCAACTGCACCCCCAGCCTGGGCCATAGAGTCAGTCCTTGTCTCAACAAAAACAAAAAATATCCATGGAAATGGAAAAGTGGACCAATACCTTATGAAGCGGAAGGACATCATCCTAGTGTTTCACAGAAGGGGAGGCTTCTAACACAGGTGGACAGTAGGATCTTTCGAAGTAAGGTATTAATGCAGTCAAACCTTCCTCTGGCTGCTGAATGCCTGATTATATGTGCTGTATGGAAAAGCACAGTTGTCTAAACCTTTGGGAAATAGATGTATTCCTTTTTCCTCAAGTTGGGAGGTAGAGGTCGGGGAGGTGTTACAGTCCAGAGGAAAGTGGTGAGGAGTTTGGGTAGTGCCATTAATGATGTGCCTATCTGGCCAGTGTACTTTGCTATAGGTCTGGTCTTCTGCACCTTGGGACAGAGTTTGATGGAGGAGGGAGAAATATTGACTAGACAACACTGTAACACTTTTTTTTTTTTTTTTGGAAGACGGAGTTTTGCTCTGTCAACCAGATGGGAAGGCAGTGGTGCAATCATAGCTCACTGCAGCCTTGAACTCCTGGACTCTAGCGATCCTACCGAGTAGCTAGGACTACAGGCATTCTACCATACCTGGCTAATTAAAAAAAAATTTTTTTTGTAGAGACAGGGTCTCACTACTTACTACTAGATGGGTCTCATTTCTACCATATATTACTGTTATAATTTATCATAATACTTTATTTTTATTTTTTGAGACAGAGTCTCACTCTGTCCCCCAGTCTGGAGTGCAGTGGGGCGATCTCAGCTCACTGCAACCTCTGCCTCCCAGGTTCAAGTGATTCTTCTGCTCAGCCTCCCAAGTAGGTGGGATTACAGGTGTGTGCCACCATGCCCAGCTACTTTTTGTATTTTTATTTATTTTATTTTTTGACACAGATTCTTGCTCTGTCGCCCAGGCTGGAATGCAGTGGCGCGATCTTGGCTCACTGCAAGCTCCGCCTCCTGGATTCACGCCATTCTCCTGCCTCAGCCTCCCGAGTAGCTGGGACTACAGGTGCCCACCACCACGTCCGGCTAATTTTTTGTATTTTTTAGTAGAGATGGGGTTTCACCGTGTTAGCCAGGATGGTCTTAACCTCCAGATCTCGTGATCCACCCGCCTCGGACTCCCAAAGTGCTGGGATTACAGGCGTGAGCCACCGCACCTGGCCGTCAACAGGTTTTAACACAACTAAGTCACAGCTGCCGTCTGGCTGACAGCAAGCCTCTTCACTTATGCTGCCTATCTCCTGATATACCCTCTTTTCATCTACTTAAATTCTACTTATCTTTCAAGAACTAGGCTAAGTCCCATACCTTCTTAAAACTTCCTCAGACTACTCTAAGTTACACTGGTCACCTTTTTTGAAATTCTGGTGACCTTATAGTCAGAACATGTAATTTAGCACTTCAGTTTTCTAGTACTTTTATGTATGGTAATTTCATGAAATACATCTTACATCACAATCCAGTACACACATACAAAACTTATTTGTAACAACTGAAACAATTTGTTAAAGCAACGCTTATTACATGTGATGAACTCTTGGTATCCCTAAAGTATATCTTAAAAAAAAAAAAAATTGCTGCTTGGCTGGATGTGGTAGCTCATGCCTGAAATCTCAGTACTTTAGGAGGCTGAGGTGGGTGTATCTCTTGAGCCCAGGGTTTGAGAACAGCCTGGGCGATATTGGCAAAACCCCTTCTCTACTAAAAATAAGAAAAATTAGCTGGGCTTAGTGGCGCACACCTATAGTCCCAACCACTCGGGAGGCTTATCTGGGAGGATCACCTGAGCCTGGGAGGTTGAGGCTGCAGTGAGTCCTGTTTGAGCCACCACACTCCAGCCTGGGTAATGGGAGTGAGACTCTGTCTCAAAAAAAAAGTGCTGCTCACAACCTGCTAAATTGATTTGGTCATAATCTAATAAGTTCAAATTTCAGTTTGAAAAATATTACATTATTTAATTCTCACCACGTAATGGATTTTTATATCCATTCAATTATCTGACTCTGAGGCTCAGAGGGGCTAAGTACTTTATTTTGGTGCAGCTTTTAAGTTTTGGAACTGCCTTTCTTAAAATCTTGTGCTCTTTCCATGCCATCTCTACTGTATATTACTGTTATAATTTATCATTGAAACATATATTCAGTAAATATTCTATGGGTTATATGCTAGAGATGCAAAAATGAAAAAAACAAAGTTCCTGTTTTAAAGGAATGTCTAATCTGGAGGAGAAAAGAATAAACAAGTAGTTTAAATAAGATTATTTGAGATATTTGATTAAACATGGCAGATTGAGTACATGAATTTATCTCTGTTGGTGCTTTCCATATCCCACTAAAGCAACAATAAGGAAAGAAAATGATATTAATCCACAAGGGCAAAGTGAGTAGGAAAGGAAACAATAGCTGAGATATATCGGAAGATTTTTGGAAGATTCTGAAGTTGATGGAGAAGTGGTCACTGACTCAGAGCAGAGAGACCACTACCTAAGTTCCTGAAGAGGGGTTATACTGGTTGAGCCTCCCAGCAGAACTCCAGAAGGCCCAAAACTTGGATATACTAGGTGCCAGGTAGGGTGGGAAAGAAGAAAAAGACTATTCTAAGGAACAGTTAGGTCCCAAGATCTCTTTTACCACCAGGTGACTTTACCTTTTCTTAGCAGAGTATTGGAGACTTTTTCTCTGGGGAAACTGAACAGATGAAGAGGCTCTAGAATCATCTGAGCTGTTAGGCCCAAGTTGAAAAAAAGGGAATTAAATTGAATTCTGCATGCTAAAGGGTAGTACTTCCCAGCTGTGAGAAGCAACACTGGTAGTCACACATATACTACCTTCCTGGCAGAGATTTGGAAAATTATTTGGAATGGCTGCAGAGAAAAGCCAGCTTGCTACTCCATCATCTTGTGGTGAAGATCAGCAGTTGATAAGCTTTATTCATGCAGAGAGCTTCCTTCAGGCTTTTAATTGTTTTAATTATGAACAAATAGCCAAGGATCACCAGATATTCAAGGAAAATTTCCAACAAGACAACGTCAACCCCCTACTCAAAAACAACAAAATACTAAGGAAAAACTTTGGAGGAGGGATCAGAAGACACTTAGGGAACAAAAGAAAACCTAAACTGTAACAACCTCAGGGAGATAAGTGAAAATATTACATCTCTGAAAAAAGAACTGAGTGCTATTTTAAAAAAAAAGACATAGGAAAGAGCTCTTAGGAAATTAAACATATTTTGACCAAAACAAAATATTCAATAGAAGATAACGTAAAGGAAATCTGGACAATGGAGCAAGAACAAAGAAATGGGTATTAGGAGAGAAAATAAAATTAAATGTTTAATAAAAAAGATCCAATATCTAGTTAATGAGTTCTAGAAAAAGAACTGAGAACATAGAAACTAGGAAATTATCAGAGAAATAATAGAGAATTTTCCGAACTGAATTTTTCAGTTTGAAAAGCCAATCCGATGAATAAAAAGAAAGCTCATATCAAGGCACATTATCCTGAAATATCAGAACCGTAGCATTAGATTTCTCAACAGAAACCTTGGATGCTACAAATGACAGAATAATGCTTTCAAAATTCTTAAGCAAAATTTTTGATCCTAGAATTCTATTCCCTAATAAATAATCCAAATTTGAGGGTAGAAAAAAATTTTTTAATGTAAGTGCTAAAAAATTAACTTCTTACACATCCCTACTCACAAAGCTAATTAGAGAATGAATGTGTCCACCAAAATGGCGGCGTAAACCAAGGAAGAAGATACTGGATCCTGGAAACAGGGTAACATAGAATAGTGAGAAAAGCCCCAGGGTGGCATCTGTGCAATGACTCAGTTTGGAATATGTTCTGGATGGGTCCAGGAGGGAGGTCTCTAGAAAAAAACATTTTGACCATGTGGACTATGGTTTTAAGAGAGATTTTAGAGGTGAGTATATTAGAGTTGGAGTTAGGCACATAAAAAGCAAATGAAATACATGAGTTAGGCAAATTAAACTCAGTAATTATGTTACTGAGCATTAGCATTAGTATTGTTATGAGATTATTATATGTGTAACATGGCTTAAAATATGTAAATAAATATAATTCTACTTCATCCCTTGGTGCTTGAGAATTAAGATTCTTGGTGGAGGAGAAAAGAGATACAGATGTAATACAGAAGGGAGTAGGTAAAAAATTCTGTAATTCTGAAAAAGTATTAGTATAAACTTTAATTAGTATTTCATCTTTAAATGTTTTTCTGGCTCTGTCCACTGAAGAAGCTTAGAAATAATGACCAAATCTGTTACATCCATACCATTGTGATCTTAAAATATCTTTTTCTACTAGAAGAAATGGCTGGTTGCAGAAATTGCTTATTCCCCATGGGGCAGGAAGTGTACAATGTGAGTCTAGAATATTTTGTCACTGCTAATTGCAAGGAAGTTATCAAAGCCTACTTGAGTGATG
The DNA here is from genome assembly GCF_000001405.40 of Homo sapiens. Lineage (NCBI taxonomy): Eukaryota > Metazoa > Chordata > Mammalia > Primates > Hominidae > Homo > Homo sapiens. Next base: position 52,933,205 of record NC_000001.11, read on the forward strand.
CCGAAAGGATTCAGGAGCCAACCTGTAGTTCTCACTTACCAAAGTTGAGAAAATTTGAGCTTTAAAAGAGATAGTAATTGCAGTTGATTAAAACCCATCAGGCTGGGCATGGTGGCTCATGCCTGTAATCTTGGCACTTTGGGAGGCCGAGGCTTAATTAAGCCCAGGAGTTTGAAACCAGCCTGGGCAACATGGCAAAACCTCATCTCTACTAAAAAAATAAAAATCAAAAATTAAGAAAAAAAACCCCATCAGGTATGTTTAAACAAGAGTTTGTGATAATATTTTAAAAATCAACTAATTATAGTCTTTGGAGGATAACAGGGAACCTACTCATTGTCTTGAAAATTGACAAAGGGAAACAATCATATGTTTATTGTTTTTCCTGTATGAACTGTATCATTGGATAATTAAATAGTAGATGAGGAGTAGTGTCTTCTATCAAACGTATTTAAGTAATAACTGAAAAAGAAATGACAGAACATTACCATCATTTTTGACAGCTGCCAATGAATTGATCTAGCAGGGGTTCTCAAAATACGGTTTGTGGAGTCCTTGGGGTAGTCTCTGAGACCCTTTGAGGGGACCTGAAAGATCAAGACTATTCATAATAATACTAAGATATTGTTTGCCATTTTCATTGTATGTTGACATTTACACTGATGGTGCAAAAGTAATGGTGGGTAACACTGTTGGCATCTTAGCATGAATCAAAGCACTGGCACCAAACTAGTAGTCACTATATTTGTCATGCACTTATGCATTCACAGGAAAAAGAAAAGCACTAATTTTCACTTAAGACCTCGATGAAGCAGAAAACATTGGTTAATTTTATTGAATCTCAACCCTTAAGAGATGATTTGCATTATGAGCTAAACCAACTACTTTTTTTCATGAAACACATTTTACTTGAGAGAACAAATGGCACACATGTGATGGTTAATTCATACTTGAGTATTTTACAGACATTTTCTCAAAAACGAATGAAGTCAGCAGTCACGTCAAGGAAAACAACTGAAGTGTTTGTTTCTAAAGATAAAATTTGGGCTTTCAAGTGAAAATTAGAATTTTAGAAAACTTGTATCTGCTTCATAACTTCCTACTATTAAAAATTTTTTTTTTGTTTTTTAACGGGACAGGTAATATTAACAAAGGTGAGTTTTTGGAATTATATAAAGTCAAAATTTGAAAGGGCCGTATAACTCATGGAGCCGATATTTTTCCAAAAAAACCAATGGATGATGTTCTGCATTCTTTAAATAATAATCCACTCATTTATGGATCCATTGAATGGATCAGTAAGAGATCCATTCAAATACAATATTTTATTATAACAGAGTATGAAAAATTCATTGATAGACGGTTTCAAATTCTACATTCCAGCTAACTTTTTTTTTTTTTTTTTTTTTTTTTTTTTTTTTTTTTTGAGACGGAGTCTCTCTCTGTCCCCCAGGCTGGAGTGCAGTGGTGCGATCTTGGCTCACTGCAAGCTCCACCTCCTGGGTTCACGCCATTCTCCTGCCTCAGCCTCCCGAGTAGCTGGGACTACAGGTGCCTGCCAACACGCCCGGCTAATTTTTTGTATTTTTAGTAGAGACTACAGGCGCCCGCCAACACGCCCGGCTAATTTTTTTGTATTTTTAGTAGAGATGGGGTTTCACGGTGTTAGCCAGGATGGTCTCGATCTCCTGACCTCGTGATCCGCCCGTCTCGGCCTCCCAAGTGCTGGGATTACAGGCGTGAACCACCGCGCCCGGCCTAACTTTTAAGAAACGTCGGCCCGGGAGCGGTGGCTCACGCCTGTAATCCCAGCACTTTGGGAGGCCGAGGTGGGCGGATCACCTGAGGTTAGGAGTTTGAGACCAGCCTGGCTAACGTGGTGAAACTCCGTTTCTACTAAAAATACAAAAAATTAGCTGGGTATGGTGGCGCGCACCTATAATCCCAGCTACTCAGGAGGCTGAGGCAGGAGAATTGCATGAACCCGGGAGGCGGAGGTTGCAGGGAGCCGAGATCGCCCCATTGCACTCCAGCTTGGGCAACAAGAGCAAAACTCCGTTTCAAAAAAATAAAATAAAAAAAGAAACCTCCACTTGGCGGGGCGTGGTGGCTCATGCCTGTAATCCCAGCACTTTGAGAAGCCAAGGAGGGTGGATCACCTGAGGTCAGAAATTCGAGACCAGCCTGGTCAACATGGCAAAACCGCAAAACCCCGTTTTTATTAAAAATACAAAAATTAGCCAGGCGTGGTGGTGGACGCCTGTAATCCCAGCTACTCGAGAGGCTGAGGCAGGAGAATCACTTGAACCCAGGAGGTGGAGGTTGCATTGAGCTGAGATTGTGCCACTGCACTTCAGCCTCAGCCACAGTGCGAGACTCAGTCAAAAAAAAAAAAAAAGAAAAAAGAAACCTCCTGTCTCAAGAAAAAAAAAGGAATGTCCACACTCGGTTGGGTCTAGTGAGTGGCTCATGCCTGTAATCCCAGCAGTTGGGGAGGCTGAGGTTGAAGGCTTACTTGAGCCCAGGAGTTTGAGACCCGTCTGGGCAACATGGCAAGACCCCGTCTCTACAAAAGATAGAAAAATTAGCTGGGTGCAGTAGTGCATGCTTGTAGTACCAGCTACTCAGGAGGCTGAGGCAGGAGGATTGCTCGAGCCCAGGAGTTTGAGGCTGCAGGGAGCTATGTTCATGGCACTGTACTGCAGCCTGGGTGACAGAGCAAGAACCTGTCTTGAAAAAAAAAAAGAATATCCACAATTCCAATACTCTTCCCTTTTCCAACTACATGTCTGTGTTAGGTCACATGATGTACTTCATAGACTTCAACTAAAACAACATAATGCTAAAGTTTGAATGAAGAATCAGATATGAGAATTCAGCTGTCTCCTGAATTAAAGATAATTGCAGAAATGCTAAACAATGGCATTCTTCCCACTTTATTTTGGAAAATACAATTATTTTTCATAGAAATTATTTATGTTAACATGTAATGGATTTATTGTTTTTGATGAATTGGAAAATCTTTTAAAATGTCTTTAGTTTTAAGTTCTATTATGATAGCTATTGGTAGATATAACCTTCATAATCGAAAGCTCTTTGCCATTTCCAATAATCCTCAAGAGCGTAAAGGGGTCCTGAGACTAAGAAGTTTGAGAATCGCTGGATGTAGTCTCTGCTGCTAACAACACAGAGAAACAATCAGATATATGCTTCCTAATGAAAGAATACACTACCACCTATAGTTTTGTCAAAGGGATAGAATGTACAATCAAATTTTGGATCCAGTTGCCAATTTACAGGAAATACAGAGAACAGAAGTACACATTCAACTACATGAGTATGCAATCTGCAAAATCCAGACTCTGGGAAACTGTAGGTCAAATGCTTTGGTTCTTCAACAGACACATCTTACTGTATTTGAAAGGAAAAGAAAGTAGTAGAGGGAAGCCTGTAGATTAAAAGAGAATTAAAAGACACTTTTTTAAAATAAATGGGCAAGACTAAACTATAATGTCTTTGGATGCGTATTTGGGTGATAAAAGTATGAAATATTCCAAGAGAGTAATTACTGTAAGAATCGGGATAGTAATTACTTTGGGGGTAGAGTGGGGATTGAGATTGCTACAGAGTACATGGAGGAGTTTCTGGGGTGGAGGGCAAAGTTCTATTTCTTGACCTGGGTGATGGTAGCAAGGGTGTTTGCCTTAAAACAATTCATTAGGATATGCATTTAACTCTAGAAAAAAAAATCCTAAAAATTGTACAGTAAGGAAATGGAATCATAAGTAGACAACTGGCCCAGCAGTTGAAAAAAATGTACTTAATAAAGCAAACACCGAGAATTAAATTAACACCAAATTGTGATTCTGCTATGTAAGAAGGGTAAGAGATATGTAAACTAATGTATATGTGGGGTGGCAGAAAAGGTCTGATCCTTATTGGTCCTTATAGGAGATTATGATATGACTTCTTACATTGATGAAGAAAGAAATAGTAGTATAAGAAGGATATTTAGAAACATGTCAGTTTCTAACAAGAAATATCTGAAAGAATTGAAAGTGGATGTTTTGGGAGCAAATAAGACTACTGGGTGCAGAGTAGTGAAACAGGATTGCTGTTTTTATTATAAAGTTTGTGGTACTTTTTGTCTTTATCTTTTGTTTTTGCATTTCTTTTATGAAAAAATAAAATATAAATAGAACATTGCTAGCACCTCAGAAGGCCCTCTTGTGTCCTCTTCCAGCCACTGACCCCTTGCCTTCAAAGGGTTACTATTATTCTGACTTCTGACCTTTAATATGCTGGATTAATTCTGGTTAAACCTTAAAAAGGTTTCTGTAATTCAAGAATTATGGAGAAGAATTGGGATGGGTCAGAGATAGGAACACATTAAGTGTTTTGGTACTGTGCAATGAAATGTGGCATTTAAGTCACATATCATGTTTCAAACTTTTGTGACCCATTAGTGAGTCGTGAACTCAATTTAGAAAGTTGTCTTAGAATTAAAAATTGAAATAGAACAGGAAATACTGATGCCAGCAAGCCCACAAAGTGGGGCTTATCTTGGGAGGGTTCTCAGCTTCACTTAGAGTGAGCCAACAGTGAAAGAAAGCAAATTAGAACAGCAAGGTACAGCAAAATGGCTGCTCCATAGACACAGCAGGGCTGTCGCATAGGCAGAGCAGCCCAGAGTAGCCCAGTGGATTGCTGGACAGCTATATTTATACCTACTGTTAAAAGGGGGGTGGGTTATTCATGAACTTTCTGGAAAAGGGGCAGGGAGTCCCCAGAGTCATATAACTTCTGAGGCATTGCCACAGCATAGTAGGTAAATTGTCATGCTGTTGGTGGCTGTGTCTTATGTAAATGTGTTATAATTCGCATATAATGAGCAATGAGGGCAACTAGAGGTTGCTTTCATTGCCATCTTGGTCTTAGCTGATTTCAGCTGGTTTATTTGTCACATCCTTTTTTGATCAGCAGGGTGATCAGTAGTGACTGAGGCTCAGGAGACAAGTCCTGTTGGTATCCTACCTTGAAATAAGAATAAATATTTCATGAAAGTTTTGCTTCACTTATGTATGTATATATGCGTGTACTGGGTTGTGTTGTAAAATGTATTTTATTTTGGTTTGCAGTCAAAAGAATATTCAAAGCCATTTCTCTTTAATGTGACCACTCACCAGCAAAGCACTACATCTTACCTAATCAGTCATCAAGTTCAGTAGATTTTACTTCCCTTGTATTTCTGAGGTCTATTTCTTTCTTTTTTGCTTCTGTCTTAGCCCTCACCTGGCCTGTTTCAGAATTATGCTAGTTGGTCTCACTGCCTCCCGCCATGCTCCTTTCATCATTTCTTCACATTGTGTCTAGGATGATCTAAAATGCAAGTCTCGTCATCCCAGTCTCTTTCTCTTTTTAAAAATAGACTACTTTTAAGAGAAATTTTAGGTTTACAGCAAAATTGAGTACAAGGTACAGAGATTTCCCATGTGTTTCCCCTATCCCTCCATATATAGCCTCTCCCTCTATCAGCAAGGGCACACCCAGAGTGATACATTTGTTATGATCGATGAACATACATTGACACATCATTATCACCCAGAGACCATAATTTACTTTAGTGTTCACTCTTGGTATTGTACATTCTATGGATTTTGAAAAATGTGTAATGACATGTATCCAGTGTTATAGGATCATACAGAATAGTTTCACTGCCTTAAAAATCCTCTGTGTTCCACATATTCATCCTTCTCTCCCACCAGCACCTGGCAACCACTGATCTTTTTACTGTCTCTATAAATTTTACCTTTTCCAGAGTGTCCTTTACTTGGAATCATAGTTTGTAGTCTTTTAAGATTGTCTTCTTTCACTTAATATGATATGTATTTAAGGTTCTTCCATGTTTTCTCATAGCTTGATAGCTCATTTCTTTTTAGCACTGAATAATATTCCATTGTTTGGATGTGCCACAGTTTATCCTTTTACCTCCTGAAGGACATCTTGATTGCTTCCAAGTTTTGACAGTTATGAATAAAGCTAGTATAAACATCTGTGTGGTTCCATCATAGTGGCTCGTGACTGTAATCCCAGCACTTTGAGAGGCTGAGGCAGGAGGATTGCTTGAGCCCCGGAGTTCGAGATCAGCCTGGGCAACATAGTGAGATCCATCTCTACAAAAAAACTTAAAAATTAGCCAGGCATGATTATGAGCACCTGTGATCTCAGCTACTCAGGAGGCTGAGGTGGGAGGATTGCTTGAGCCCGGGAAGTTGAAGCTGCAGTGAGCTGTGATCACACCACTGCACTCCAGCCTGGGCAACAGAGTGAGACTCCATCTCAACAAAACAAAACAACAACAAAAAACACCCATTTGTAGGTTTTTATATGGACATAAGTTTTCAACTCCTTTGGGTAAATGCCAAGGAGTGCTATTGCTAATTCATATGTGTATTGTGTGTGCTTTATTTTTGCTTTATTTATTTATTTATTGAAACTGAGTCTTGTTCTGTTGCCCAGGCTGGAGTGCAATGGCACAATCTTGGCTCACTGCAACCTCTGCCTCCTGGGTTTTCCTGTCTCAGCCTCCCGAGTAGCTGGGATTATAGGTGCTGGCCACCATGACCAGCTCATTTTTGTATTTTTAGTAGAGACAGGGTTTCATCATGTTGACCAGTCTGGTCTCGAATTCCTGACCTCAAATGATCCACCCACCTCGGCTTCCTAAAGTGCTGGGATTACAGATGTGTGCCACCATGCCCAACCTGTACATGTTTAGTTTTGTAAGAAATTGCCGAACTTCCTATTGCTCCATATCCTTGCCAGCATTTGATGTCAGTGTTTTGGATTTTTGCCATTCTAATTAATAGTGGTATCTGATTGTTGTTTTATTCCAGTCTCATTTTAAAAAACATTGTCATCTGGGCATGGTGGCTCACACCTGTAATTGCAGCACTTTGGAAGCTGAGGCAGGAGCATCACTTGAGCCCAGGAATTTGAGACCAGCCTGGGCAACATGGCAAAACCCCATCTCTACAAAAAATACAAAAATTAACTTAGCGTGGTGGTGCGTGCCTGTAGTCCCAGCTACTGTGGGTGCAAAGGGAGCTGAGGTGGGAGGATTGCTTGAGTCAGGGTGGTTGAGGCTGCAGTAAGTTGTGATCATACCACTGCACTCCAGCCTGAGTGACAGAGCAAGACCTTGTCTCAAAAAACAAACAAACAAAAACACTGTCTTCAGGATAAAGCCCAGACCAGCATTGCAGGGCATAAAGGGTCCCTTGTGAGTTGGCTCCAGACCTAGACTAAACTTTCAGCTCCATTACTTATTAGCTCTATGCCCCTGGGTTAGTTGTTTATCTCTCTGTGTCCTAGTTTTCTTATCTGTAATGCACGGAACCTACCTTTTAGGATGGTTGTGAGGATTAAATGAGTAAATACATGTGAAATGCTTAACACAATGCATACCACAGTAAGCGCCCAATAAATATTAGTTGTTATCATTGTTTGGACCTAAGGTACTTTTATGTTCATATCACTTTTATTTTATTTTATTTTATTTTTGGAGACAGAGTCTCATTCTGTCATCCAGGCTGGAGTGCAGTGGCACTATCTCGGCTCACTGCAACCTCTGCCTCCTGGTTCAAGTGATTCTTCTGCCTCAGCCTCCTGAGGAGCTGGGATCACAGGCGTATACCGCCATGCCTGGCTAATTTTTGTATTTTTAGTAGAGACAGGGTTCTACCATGTTGGCCAGGCTGGTCTTGAACTCTTGACCTCAGTGATCCTCCCGCCTCGGCCTCCCAAAGTGCTGGGATTACAGGCGGGAGCCACCACACCCAGCCATCCTTAACACTTTCCACTTTATGTTTTAACCTATGTCATACCAAATTATTTACAGTTCTTCCACAGAGAAAAAACTGCTGTATTCTCTTACTTCTAGATCTTTACTCCAAAATTTCCTTCTCTTTCACTTTGCTAACTGCTACTCATCCATAAGAACTTAATTTAAATGGCAGTTTCTCTGGGAAGCCTTTCTTTTCCTCCCTCCAAGTCTGGGTAGATGTCTCTGTCAAGACATTCTGTACTTCTGACACTGTAGTGTAACTGTCTGTCTTAGGTTAGACTGGAAGCACTCTGAGGGCAAGGATTTTATATTATTTATTATTAGAGTCTAATAATAATGTGTTTTTTGTTTGAATGAGTAGTGAATGAATAGATTTTTATTGTGTAAAAAATGTAACTATACTTGGCTGGGCGCAGTGGCTCACACCTGTAATCCCAGCACTTTGGGAGGCCGAGGCAGGCAGATCACAAGGTCAGGAGTTTGAGACCAGCCTGGCCAACATGGTGAAACCCCGTCTCTACTAAAAATACAAAAATTAGCTGGGCATGGTGGTGTGCACCTGTAATCCCAGCTACTGGGGTGGCTGAGCCAGGAGAATGGCTTGAACCCAGGAGGCAGAGGTTGCAGTGAGCCGAGATCATGCCACTGCACTCCAGCCTGGGTAACAGAGCAAGACTCCGTCTCAAAAAAAAAAAAAAATGTAACTATACTTGTTTGTATTTATTATCTCTTTCTATATCTCTAGTTTGTGAAGCCTGGAGCTGAGAATTCAAGAGACTACCCTGACTTGGCAGAAGAAGCAGGTAACATAGAACATTTAGATCTTTGAACATTCATAGTTTATTATGTGGTCTGTCTTGATTTCATGGATGGGGCAGCCTTGCAAGCACAAAAGGAAGCCCAGTCAAGGGAGAAGAACCCGTACAGAGAAATGTCTAGTGACTCACTACAAAGGAAAAGAGCTTGGGCATTCTTAGCAGCTACATAGCCAGAGCAGAGAGTGGCTTACAATTTTATGTGCTATCCAAATATGTGTTGAGATGGTTAAGGGATCTGTGGGAGAGAGAGGTAGGGTCATTAAAAGGGATAACATCATTCTAGTGTGTGTTAACTTCAGGAGTTCTAACAAAATTAGTGTCTTCCTTTCCTGGAAAAGGGATAATCACATTCCAAATGTATTAAATACCTGTATGGTGGTTTTCTTTACTTCACTGAGCCAACATAGAGAATTCTTTTTCTGTCACTAGATTACTGCATGACTAAAGGAGGTGATGCAGTTTGTTACTGTTTATTATAATGAGTATTAGTACTTTTGAGCAAAAGACGGGTGAATATTGGTGTGAGTGGAACTAACAGGGAGAAGGATCTACAGGTGTATGGGTCCTGGTTCTCTAAGCATTCAGCATTCTTTAGAGACGTGCCACGACCAGGCTGCATCTGGCTGCACTGTGGGTCTGAGTTGTAGCAGAGAGATCCCCATCCATTGTTCTTCTTCTCCCCCACCTCTCTTTTTTTAAAAAAAGGGGACAAGTATGAAAGCTTCTTTACATGATATATATAAAGAATTTTTTTTTTGCCATCAATAAGAAATTTAATTATTTTTAAAAAATCCAAATGCTGGCATTGCCAGAAAAATTTAACAGGTTTTTTTTTTTTTTTTTTTTTGAGATGGAGTTTCACTCTTGTTGCCCAAGGTAGAGTGCAAATGGCATGATCTCAGTTCACTGCAACCTCGGACTCCCAGGTTCAAGTGATTCTCCTGCCTCAGCCTCCCGAGTAGCTGGGATTACAGGCACACACCTCCACGCCAGGCTAATTTTTTTGTATTTTTAGTAGAAACGGGGTTTCACCATGTTAGCTAGGCTGGCCTCGAACTCCTGACCTCAGGTGATCCACCGACCTCGGCCTCCCAGAGTGCTGGGATTACAGGTGTGAGCCACTGCGCCCAGCCTAACGGGCTTCTTTTTATCCCTGCAGTTATACTAAAAATTCACACACGCATGAAAATGGAAAAACTACCAATACTTGATTTCTGTACTCTATTTTTCCACTTGCAATCATATGCTTAGGTGCCCTTTGACTCCATGGAAAAAAAATCTAATGTTCAGAACTACCAATAACAAGAACAGAATATTTTTGTTTTTGAGAATGAAATGGTTCCCAACATGGTGGGTTCTTTTTTTTTTTTTTGAGACGGAGTCTTGCTCTGTCGCCCAGGCTGGAGTGCAGTGGTGCAATCTCGGCTCACTGCAAGCTCCGCCTCCCGGGTTCACGCTATTCTCCTGCCTCAGCCTCCTGAGTAGCTGGGACTACAGGCACCCCCCACCTTGCCCAGCTAATTTTTTGTATTTTTAGTAGAGATGGGGTTTCACCATGTTGGCCAGGCTGGTCTCAAACTCCTGACCTCGTGATCTGCCCACCTCGGCCTCCCAAAGTGCTGGGATTACAGGCGTGAGCCACCGCACCCCGCCCATAGTGGGTTCTTAAGCACATTCTCTGCATATGTAGTATGCTAGCTTGATGTCTGTTGTTACTCATTTGGCATGGATAGTGCACAGGTTGGTGTCTTCAAAAAGGCCAACGAGATAGGCCTCACTTACTTCTTGCAAAGCACCAATAGCTGCACTTTGGAAGTGCCAATCTGTTTTTAAGTCCTGAGCAATTTGTTGCACCAGACGCTGGAAGGGAGGTTTGCGAATCAGTTTAGTGGACTTCTGATAACGTCTGATTTCACCGAGTGCCACAGTACCAGGCCTGTAATGATGAGGTTTCTTCACCCCTGCAGTAGAGGGCACACTCTTGCGAGCAGCTTTTATAGCCAGTTGCTTCCTGGATGCTTTACCAGTGGTTCATTTCGGGCAGTCAGCTTTGTACTAGCCATGGTATAGAGACCTCCTTACTTACCCTCCTTCTTTGGGTGGAACTCTGCCAGCTAGAGGTGGTGCTGGTGATAGAGAGGGGCAGCAGTGCTGGAACACCTAAATAAATGTTTTGGTTTGGGGGCAAGTACTCTAAGCTTAGGTGCCGGTTGTTTAGGGGAATTCTGGGAAATACCTGCTGTCAACACCTGGAGACCTTCTCTTTCATCCCATAAGTTGTTAGGCACAGTCCTTTTCCTAGGGAGCCTCCCCAACTCAATTCCTGCTACGTTGTTGCCAGGCAACCCAAAAGGAGTTACTGTGTTTATTCCTTAGATGTTCCTGCTTATTACCATAAGTAATATTATGGGGAAATCCAGTGCATATATATTTAGATTTTGCTTCAACTTTTTTTTTGTTTTCTTTTTTCTCTTTCTAACTATTCCTTCAACATCAACTCTGATTATTCAACTCAATACTTAAATGTTATACAAGGAATCAGAGCATGTCTGTTCTCCAAAAGGAAGGTTCAAGAGATTTGATTAATTGCAGTGGTTCTCAGGGCAGACATTATTCATTTAATGTTTATCTTCTGCGTTGTTAAATGTTCTCCTCTCAATTGATGCCTCCAAATAGTTTCTGCCTGTCTTTGAAGTGGGAGATGCTTTGATCAGCTTTCTCTATATTTTTTGACCAATTTCTTTTATTTCATTAAAAAATTTGAAATTACTTTAGTGTGTGTATAATATTTTGATTATAAAATGGTAATACTGAGGTAAAGTTAATGATGTTTGAAATTAACTCTGGGGATTGACTAGTAATAAGAAATCTGGCCGGGCATGGTGACTCACGCCTGTAATCCCAACACGTTGAGAGGCCGAGGTGGGCGGAGCACCTGAAGCTAACTTTTGTATTTTTAGTAAAGATGGGGTTTCACCCTGTTGTCCAGGCTGGTCTTGAACTCCTGACCTCGGGTGATCCACCCGCCTCGGCCTCCCAAAGTGCTAGGATTACAGGCGTGAGCCACCGTGTCTGGCCTGCTGTTAGCATTTAAAGGAGGTACAGAGTACCAGCTAAACATACCTTTTTGTAACTCATTCTTTCCCACTGATTATAAGAGCAATGCATGTGTTTTATTGTAACGAATAATTATATACTAATGAAAACAAAATTTTGACCCAGACCTAGTCACTATTAGTATCTTGGTGTTATTCTATTTTAGCATTTTTCCCCTATGGCTATATGGGATCACATTTGTAGTTTTGTATCCTATTTATTTATTTATTTAGATATTTTTAAGGACAACATCTCACTATGCTGCCCAGGCTGGAGTGCAGTGGCTATTCACAGGTCCAGTCATAGTACACTCCACCTCAAACTCCTGGGCTCAAGCAGTCCTCCTGAGTAGCTGGGACTACAGGTACTCGCCACTGTGCACAGCTTGTATCCTAATTTCTGAAATTTATTTTTTCATGAGCATTTCTCCTTCTACTTAAAATTGTTTGGAAAAGGGCCAGGTGTGGTGACTCATGCCTGTAATCCCAGCACTTTGGGAGGCTAAGGCAGGCAGATCACCTGAGGTCAAGGGTTCGAGACCATCCTGGCTAACACGGTGAAAACTCCATCTCTACTAAAAATACAAAAAGTTAGCCAGATTGGTGGTGGGCGCCTGTAGTCCCAGCTACTCAGGAGGCTGAGGCAGGAGAATGGTGGGAACCCAGGAGGTGGAGCTTGCAGTGAGCTGAGTTAGCACCACTGGACTCTAGCCTAGGCAACAGAGTGAGGCTGTGTCTCAAAAAAAAAATTGTTTGGAAAAGAATGTTTAAGTTGTGCATAATATATATATATATATGCCATTATTTTTGTTGGACATTTAGGTTCCCAAGTTTTTGATATTTTAGAAAAATTGTAATGAACATTTTGCTAAATAGATGTTTGTTCTAATCTCTGTTTATTTTTGAGGAAAGAGCCTAGAAGTGGAATTGCAGGAATAGTGAATATGATCATTTTTAAGTTTTTTTGTTTTTTTTTTTTAATTGAGACATGGTCTCCCTCTGTTGCCTAGGCTGGAATGCAGTAGTGTGATCATGGCTCACTGCAGCCTTGACCTCCTGGGCTCAAGCAATCCTCCTACCTCAGCCTCCCAAGTAGCTGGGACCACAGACGCACACCACCACGCCCCCCTAATTTTTGTATTTTTGGTAGAGACAGGGTTTTGCCATATTGCCCAGGTTGGTCTTGAGGTCCTGGGCTCAAGGAATGCTCCTGCCTTGGTCTCCCAAAGTGCTAGGATTACAGGCATGAGCCACTATGCCTGGCCTCTTTTTTTTGTTTGTTTGAAACAGGGTCTGGCTCTGTTGCCCAGGCTAGAGTGCAGTGGTGAGATCATGGCTCACTGTAGCCTTGACCTCCAGGATTCAAGTGATCCTCTCTCTTCAGCTTCCCAAGTACCTGGGACCACAGGTGTATGCTACCACACCTGGCTAATTTTTATTTTTTGTAGAGATGGGGTCCCAGGCTGGTCTCAAAACTCCTGGGCTCAAGTGATCCTCCCACTTCAGCCTCCTAAAGTACAGTAAGCCACTGTGTGAAACCAAGATTCTTGCCAAATTAATTTTCAGCGTTTACACCCGTAGAGTCTCATTGGCAACATATGAGAATGTTCTTCTCAACATAGTCTCATAAACATTATTATAAGACATTTGTTTTTTGTCCATACGTTAAGCAGGAAAAGATAACTCATTTTTTGACTAACCCAATTCTGTAACCAATTACTTCATAAATTATAATAATTGATTATTATAATTAGTATCTTTGTGAATTAAAAAAATTTCAAATACATTTATATGTTTAAAAAAAAAAAAAAAGCCAGGCTTGGTGGCTCACACCTGTAATTCCAGCACCTTGGGAGGCCAAGGGAGGTGGATCACTTGAGGTCAGGGGTTTGAGACCAGCCTGGCCAACATGGCGAAATCCCCTCTCTACTAAAAACACAAAAAGTAGTGTGGTGGTAGGCGCCTATTATTCCTGTAATCCCAGTTACTTGGGAGGCTGAGGCAGGAGAATCACTTGAACCTGGGAGGTGGAGGTTGCAGTGAGCCGAGATCGCGCCCTTGCCCTCCAGCCTGGGCGACAGAGCAAGACTCTGTCTCGAAAAAAAAAAAAAAAAAACGGAAAATACAGGAATAGAGGGCCGAGTGTGGTGACTCATGTCTCTTATCCCCTCACTTTGGGAAGCCAAAGTGGGAGGATCGCCTAAGCCCAGGAGTTTGAGACTGCAGTGAGTTATGATCACACCACTGCACTCCAGTGACAGAGAGAGATGTTGTCCTTAAAAAAAAAAAAAAAAAAAAAAAAAAAAGAATGAAGAGTGGCTTATAATTCTCAGGCCTGTTCCCCATGGACAACTTCTTTTAACTCGTTTTGCTTTCGTTCTTCTGGTGATTATCTAAATACTTCAAGTTTTTGATTTGTCAGTTTTAGATGTCTGTTTGCTGCTCACTGTCATAAATGAGGATTTAGCTCACACTTTTTTTTCAACCTCACTGTCCTCTTTCCAGTTTACTTACATAATTTTTCTCATTTACTTACATAATTTTTCTCAGTTCCTCTACTAGTTATTTCTGCCACTTTTGATAGCATCCTTAAGCTCTCTTTCTTGTTCCATAGACAGAGTCACCTCTTGATCTTTTCTTTGTAAGATGAGCACATTAGTGCTATCTGCTCCCAGTAATGACAGTCTTTCTCATTTTACCCTCTAGATGTGCAGTGGAGCTACAGGGATGAATAAGACAAGGGACAAGGACCTTGTCATTAAGGAGCTGTAAGACTCTTCAGATTTAATGTAGATAGATGTGAAGTTATAACAGAAAGTGTTAAGTACCAAAAAGGAGATACGGAAAAGTGATGCAGTAGCTTAGAGGAAAAAATGATTACTTCTGAAAGTAGAGATGTGACATGATTTGATGAAGGATTTGTCATTTGAATTGAGCATAGACTATATAGAGGTAGTTTACTTTGAGAAAACTCTAAACTTAATTTTCACTCTCCTAAAACAAATACTTAAAGCACTTTTTGATAAAAACCTTTCGTTTTTATAGGCAAGAAGGCTTTAGCTGATGCACAGATCCCTTATTCAGCAGTGGACCAGGCATGTGTTGGCTATGTTTTTGGTATGTATTAAACTGTGTATTCTAAAATTTTTTTACCTAAATCTAGCAGCAACTATACAAACAATGCGGAGGCATTTGTGAATTTTAACCCTCAAAAACTCAGAATTCATTCAATTATATTTGTATTGAAGAAAAAAGAAAAAAATCTCAGAATTCAAAGTCTGATTTAAGGGAATTACCACTATTTAAAGATTTCCCTTGTGTGTCAACCTAGTGTAATTTTTCTTTTGGTGACTATTCCAAATTATACTGTAAAGATCTTCTTTGGCCTTTTTAAAAATATGGCCAGGCACTGTGGCTCACGCCTATAATCCCAGCACTTTGGGAGGCCGAGGCAGGCGGATCACGAGGTCAGGAGATCGAGACCATCTGGCTAATACGGTGAAACCCTTCCTCTACTAAAAATACAAAAAATGCGCCTGTAGTCCCAGCTACTCAGGAGGGAGAGGCAGGAGAATCTCTTGAACCCAGGAGGCAGAGGTTGTAGTGAGCCGAGATTGTGCCACTGCACTCCAGCCTGGGCAACAGAGCAAGACTCCATCTCAAAAAAAAAAAAAAAAAAAAGCATACTGTTTCATTGAATAAATGTATTATAATTTATTTTATCAATCCCCTTTTAATGGATATTTAAAAGTTCCAGTCTTTTCACAGAATTTAAAAAATACTTAATTGTCAAATATTGAATATATTCAAGGTATAAAATAAGATGATTTATGTATATATTGTATAATAATTGCCACAATCCAGTTAATTAGCCATTAATTACCACCCATGCTGTACGTTAGATCCACAGAACTCGTTCATCTTATAACTGAAAGTTTGTACCATTTGACTAACATCTCTCTGTTTCCCCCAACCCCAACAACATTTTTTTTTTTTTGTTTTTGGCAAAGGGGTAAGGTGTGTGTGGGAACCCCTACATCATTTTAAATGATTATATGATATTCTACTCTTGAAGATCTACTACAGCTTATTTAGAAGTAGTAATGATATTTTCTAATTTCTAGTTGTTATAAAAATTCTATGAATATATACAGTATTATTAAAATACTATAGTAGGTGTTACTGTAGATGAATATTTGTGCATATCTATGATTCATTTCTTTGAGATATCAAGATATCAAGAGAATTCTAGAAGGGAAACGTACTGGGTTAAAGGGATGCAGAATATATTTATTGAAAAGCAGATCCCTAACTTTCCTGATTTTGCTGAAGACTCCTGGAGCCTGTACCTTCAGATATTCCCATCACACTGCTCCAGCATGTCTACCTTGGTGGTCATGTTACTTGTGTTTGAAATGCTTGTTCCTTGGTGCCATAAAGAAATAGCACTTGAACATAAATTTAATTTACTCAGCAAGGCCATTTTAACTTCCTGCAGAAAGGGTACACTCGCCAGCAGTTTTGCCACGAGAGTACACTGAGCAAAGGAGACAGGGTCATTTATAACCTGATGCGTCCACCCTACTGCTGTGTCCAGTTCCATTGGCTGGAACGGGACCTCACATTCTGTATTTGTCCTGATTGGCTAGCAACTTAGAACTTTTTAAAAGAGGCAAAGGCAGAGGAGAACAAAGGAAGGAGGAAGTAACTTGTGGAATGCTGAGAAAGGTAAAAACACCTTCAAATAAGGAAGAGGAACAGGCTATGACTTAATGCTTGCTTGGGCCAGTATAAGCATGCCAGGGCAAATATTTAGGCTAAATTGTGGGAGCTAAGAATGTAAAGTGTAATGATTTCTTTACCATGGCTAGCAGATATTTAAGAATGTTAGCACAGGTCTTTGAATAAATTTTGCTTCTAAGAGAAGTTACTATTTATTCCTAATTAAATGAGGAGGAAAGTCTTTGAAGAGGAACCTCTACTTTACTTTTTACACTTGGGAAAGGAAGGCACATGTGTATTTAACATGGATCATGTTTTCCTGGAATGCCTTGGCATGCAGGGTCTTTTAAACTTTTTGAAGTTGTGGAATCTTTATATGAAAAGTAAATCATGGCCTTTAATCACTGGCATAGGTTTAAAGATTTTATTTATTTATTTATTTATTTATTTATTTGAGACCGAGTCTCTCTCTGTCGCCCAGGCTGGAGTGCAGTGGTGCGATCTAGGCTCACTGCAACCTCTGCCTACTGGTTCAAGTGATTCTTCTGCCTCAGCCTCCCAAGTAGCTGGGATTACAGGTGCATGCCACCATGCCTGGCTAATTTTTTGTATTTTTAGTAGAGATGGAGTTTCACCATGTTAGCCAGGATGGTTTCGACCTCCTGACCGCGTGATCTGCCCGCCTCGGCCTCCCAAAGTGTTGGGATTACAGGCATGAGCCACCACACCTGGCCAAGGTTTAAAGATTTTTTTCTGACATTTAGGTGTTAATGAAATATTGCTTTCTTTATCATATAGCCTTAGCCAGATGGAACTGTTTTCTATTAACTGATCATTTCTTTACTTCTCTACCTCTGTATTATATAAAGAAAGTGCACATATATTCTGTTTTCAGTCTTTTTTGCAGAGTAAATGATGGTTAGTGTTAAAACTGTTTCTAAGATATTTACTGTCTTGCACATGTTATATGCTAGGCAAAGGTATAATATTGAAAAAACCCATAATGTAGTATTATGTTGCATTGCAACTCCATAATTCTCCATATTAAAATTTTTGTTTTTCTATTCAGGTGACTCTACCTGTGGGCAGAGGGCTATCTATCACAGTTTGGGAATGACTGGAATTCCTATAATCAATGTCAACAATAACTGTGCTACTGGTTCTACTGCTTTGTTTATGGCCCGCCAGCTGATTCAGGGTGGTAAGGAGTGCTTGTCTAGTGTACTTAAATATTGCCCCATTTTAATCATTTAATCACACGACCATCAGAGGAATTATTTTATAATGTATTTGTTTTAAAAAAGTCTTCATCAGGCCGGGTGTGGTGGCTTATGCTTGTAACCCTAGCACTTTGGGAGGCCGAGGGGGGTGGATTGTTTGAGCTTGTGAATTTGAGACTAGCTCTGGGCAATGTAACAAAACCCCGTCTCTACAAAAAATACAAAAATTAGCCGGGTATGGTGGCGTGCATCTGTAGTCCCAGCTATCTGGGAGGCTGAGGTGGGAGGATGACTTGAGCCTGGGAGACAGAGATTGCAGTGAGCCTAGATGGCACCACTGCACTCCAGCTTGGGTGATAGAGCCAGACCTTGTCTCAAAAAAGCCCCCCAAAAAACAAAAAAAAGGCTTTATCAGCCAGGCATGGTGGCTCACACTCGTAATTTCAACACTCTGGGGGACCAAGGCAAGAGCATCACTTGAGCCCAGGAGTTCAAGACCAGCCTGGGCAACGTAGTTAGAACCTGTGTTTATACAAAATTAAAAAAAATTAGCCAGGCGTGGTGGTCCCAGCTATGCAGGAGGCTGAGGCTGGAGGATGTATGATCATACCACTGCACTCTAGCCTGGGCCACACAGTGAGACTGTCTCTAAAAAAAAAAAAAAAAAAAAAAAATTAATTAAGGTAAAATAAAATTAAAAAGGCATTGTGAGATATAATTTATAGACCATAAAACTCACCTTTTTAAAGTGTACGATTCAGTGTTTTTTGTATATTCACAGAATTGTATACCTATCACCACTATGTAATATTAGAACTTTTTTTTTTTTGAGAGGGAGTCTTGCTCTGTTGCCCAGACTGGAGTGCCGTTGTGCCATCTCAGCTCACTGCAACCTCCACCTCCCGGGTTCAAGTGATTCTCATGCCTCAGCCTCCCAAGTAGCTGGGATTACAAGTACCTACCACCATGCCTGGCTAATTTTTTTGTATTTTTAATAGAGACGGGGTTTCACTATGTTGGCCAGGCTGGTCTCAAACTCCTGACCTCAAGTGATGTGCTCACCTTGGCCTCACAAAGTGCTGGGATTACACCTTGGCCTCACAAAGTGAGGTGTGAGGCTTACCTTGGCTTCACAAAGTGCTGGTGTGAGCCACCACACCTGGTCATATTAGAACATTTTTATCACCACAGAAAGAAACCCTGTACCCATTAGCATTCATTCTCTATTTTCTCCTCCCCTCAGTCCCTAGAAACCACTAATTTACTTTCTTTTTGTGGATTTTCATATTCTGAATATTTATATAAATAGAATTGTACAATACATGGCCTTTTGTGGTTTATTTCACTTAACACAATGTTTTCACAATTTATTCATGTTGTAGCATATATCAGTACTTAATTCCTTTTCATGGCCAAATAATATTCCATTGTATGGATATATCACATTAAAAAAATAGATGGACTGTATTTTAAACGTACAAGAAAAATAAAAAATAAAATAAGTAGAAATGAGGTCTTGCTATGTTGCCCAGGCTGATCTTGAGCTAATGGCTTTAAGCGATCTTCCTGCCTTGGCCCCTCAAAGTGCTAGGATGGCTACACCACATTTCTTCTACCTGTTTATCAGTTGATGGACATTGTTGCTTGCATTTTTTTTGTTTCCATCAGTTGAGGGATTGTTTCTATTTTTTGGCTGTTATGAATAATGCTGCCATAATGGGCATGGTGTCTGGCACCTGTAATCCTAGCTTCTTGGGAGGCTGAGGCGGGAGGATCACTTGAGCCTAGGAGACTGAGGCTGCAGTTTGCTATGACTGTGCCACTATACTCCAGCCTGGGCAACAGAGCAAGACACTGTCTTTTAAAACTTGGGGTAGCGGGGAGGGCGTAGATAATGCCATTGTAAACATTGTGTATATATATATATTTTCTGTGGCTGTGTATTTTCAGTTCTTTTGTATATGTATCATATCCTATGTTTCCATATATTCTAGGGTTTTTTATTAGGTCCTCTCTCTGTTCCACTGATTTGATTGTTGATCACTATTTCACTACCCAGCATTTTAATTATTGGAACTTTATATTGTTTGATAATGCTAGTGGTCCCTGTTTCTGTTCTTTTATTTTTTTTAAGAAAAAATGTGGCAATTCTGTCTTTTTTTTTTTTTTTTTTTAGTTCAGCTTCTGCAGGAATATTTGGCTCTTCAGTTGAACTTTAACATCATTTTTAGGGGCCCCCCTCTCTCCAAAAATAATTCTTTTGAGATTTTCACTGGGTTCATTTTTTAGTTTTTAATTTCAAATTTTAAATGTTTTTCTAAATGTGATTCTAAATTAGCTTTTTATATTCATTACTGAAACACATTTCTACATTAACATGAAATTTTATTAACATATTGAGACTCAAGAGAAGAATTAAGCACCTTATTGATTTTTCCTCTTTTCTTTTTTTAGAAACAGGGCCTCACTCTCTCACCAAGGCAAGAGTGTGGTAGCATGATCTCAGCTCCTGCCACCTGTGCCTCTTGGCCTCAGGTGATCCTCCCACCTCAGCCTCCTAAGTATTAATAATTGGGATCATAGGCGTGCGCCACCATACCCAACTAATTTTTGTATATTTTGTAGAGATGGGGTCTTGCCATGTTGCCCAGACTGGTCTTGAACTCCTGGTCTCAAGCGATACATCTGCTTTGGCCTCCCAAAGCTTTGAGATTACAGGTGTGATTCACCGCACCTGGCCCGATTTTTCCTCTTATCTAGAAGAATATAAAGATTTTCTCTATAATTTTTCTGTTATTAAAAACTTTGTTTGGTGGCTTATGTTTGTAATCCCAGCACTTTGGGAAGCTGAGGTGGGTGGATCACTTGAGCCCAGGAATTTGAGACCAGCCTGGGCAACATGGTGAGACTCCATCTTTACCAAAAAAAAAAAAAAAAGCAAGAAAACTGGTCATGGTGCCACAGGCCTGCAGTCCCAGCTACATGCAGACTGCTTGAGCCCAGGAGGTCTAGGCTTCAGTGAGCCATGATTGCACTACTGCACTCCAGCCTGGGTGACAGAGTGAGACACTGTCTCAAAAAAAAAAACAAAAAAAACAACCAAAACCCAGCAAAACCTTTGTGGTGCCGGGCATAGTGGCTCATGCCTGTAATCCTAGCACTTGGGAGGTCGGGGTGGACAGATCGCTTGAGCCCAGGAGTTCAAGACCAGCCTGAGCAGCATAGTAAAACTCTCTCTACAAAAAATAAAAAAATTAGCTGAATGAGGTGGCACATTCGTGTGCCACCCCATTCAACTAATAGAGAGCTGAGGTGGGAGGATCGTTTGAGCCTGAGAGGTTGAAGCTGCAGTGAGCTGTGAGCCTGCCACTATACTCCAATCTCGGTGACAGACTGAAACTTTGTGTCAAAAAAAAAAAGCAAACAAACAACAACAACAACAACAACAAAAACCTTTGTGGGGTTATAGTATGTTTTTATATTTTATTTAAATTGGCTTATTTATTTAGAGACAGAATTTCTGGGCTCAAGTGACCTCCTGCCTCAGCCTACCAAGTCACTAGGACTACAGGTGTGTACCACCACACTCAGCTAATTTTTCAAACATTTTAATTTTTTAAATTTTTGTAGAGACAGAGTCTTACTATGTTGCCTGGCTGGTCTTGACCTCCTGACCTCAAGCAGTTTATCTGCTTTGATCTCCCAAACTGATGGGACTATAAGTTCGAGCCATTGTGTGCTCACTTGACGTACTTATTTGAATTGAAGTATTTAATGGTATTTTGTTGGTGTTTGGAAATTTGAATTTTCAAAATAATTACGTTTTCCTTTAAGGTGTGGCAGAATGTGTCTTGGCTCTTGGGTTTGAGAAGATGAGTAAGGGAAGCCTTGGAATAAAAGTGAGTGTTATTTTGGCATAGTTACTAAATGAGCTAATATAACCCAAAAGTTGAAAGGTGATACTTACATGTATGCATAGATCTTGGTATTTTAGAATAGTGAAGAATCTTAGAGATAATTTTGTTCAAACTGTTTATTTTGCCAATGATGAAACTGGTGTTCAAGGATATGAGATTATTGGAATTTGAAGTTGACTTATCTATTTAATTTAAAAGCCATTCATTTATTCATTTTTTTGATAAATGAATTACATTCAATAAATGAAATTCATTCAACAAATTGAAGAGAGTTAATAAAATGTGGGACTTCTGATTCTGGTAATGGCAAGCCAAGTTTTTTGAGCCAGTTCTCTCACTGATAACAACTAAAATATTTGGATAGAATATGAAAAAAGAAATCCTAAAGGTATTGAAGAACTAGCAAGAGAGAGGAACTGCAGATGAGTGCCAGAGAATTAACATCAGCATTTGCAGCTACTTTTGCCTTGAAGATCTTTGCTGATCAGGCAGCTGTGAGCCACAATTTTAACAGCCCCCTGGAATGAAAGGGGAAATAGTCAAAGCTCAGGCCTTCCCAAGATCAGAAGTTTAATACCCACATTAAATTGATACTACGTAAGGTAAACTCTTTGGGTAGGATGAACCTGAAGTAAAACTGCCCACTTCCATGAGATGATAGGGAGAGTTACCATGGCATCCAGTAAAACAGGGGAGGAAAAAAAAAGAGAAAGAATAAAAAACTCAGTAAAACCTTTCATTGAGTTAATAAATCACAGACTAGCCCTCATGTGGGATCACTGCCAACATTCTCATTATCTAAGTCGTCCAGGAAACCTCAAACCATGAATTGAATCTAAATTAGTTCCAGAATGGTAGTAACCTAGACAAATTTTCTTCTGGAGGAAAGCACCTTTCTTCCAGGCTTTGAGAACCCTTCAAATAAAATTTTAAGGACACGCAGTTAAAGATAACCAAGGATTAAAGAAACAAGACACCACAATTGAGAACCGAAAGGAAGAAGGAGCAGTAAAAACTAATCTCTGAAGACCGCCAAAACTAGATTTATTGGATGCAGATTTAACCATGTTTGTTATGTTTAGAGAAATAAAAGACAGCTTGGGAACCGCTTTAGGCTATAGGAAATTACAAAAAAGAACATTATTGGCATGAAAAAAAAAAACTAAACAGAATTTATAGAAAAGAAAAATGAAATAAATAAAATTAAAAATTCACTCATGCCTGTAATCCCAGCACTTTGAGAGGCTGAGATGGGCGGATCACTTGAGGCCAGAAGTTTGAGACCAGCCTGGCCAACATGGCAAAACCCGTCTCTACTAAAAATACAAAAAATTAGCCGGGTGTGGTGATATGCGCCCGTAATCCCAGCTACTCGGGAGGCTGAGGCAGGAGAATCGCCTGAGCCCAGGAGGTGGAGGTTGTGGTGAGCCAAGATGCGCCATTGCACTCCAGCCTGGGCGACAGAGTGAGACTCCGTTTCAAAAAAAAGAAAATGAGTTGAAGATAATTTTTTACTGTTATCTAAGATTATACTATTATCTAACTTATGTGATCAACCTGATCCCATTTTCTCTGTTGAAACATTAAAGGACCTCTACCCCAAATTAAGTTAAATATATATGATAATATTTCTTAGAAACCACAAAAGTGGCACTTAATAGGCATTCAAATCAATGAGTTGTTTCCCTCTTTAAAGAATGCCTTTAAAAAGTGGTAGAAGTTAGGTTGGATCTTAAAGATAATTTAGGAGTGGGTAAGGGGAAATGAGCTCTTCCTAGATGTCAGGGAAAGCATCATGAGCCTAGTCATGGGTGTTTGAATGAATATGATATACCTAGGGAACAGTTTTAAAAACTGTCTGGATTAGAGTGGCAGCTGGAGAAGACTGAGAAATAAGGTTGTGTAAGTGAATATATAATGTTTATGATACATGAAAAATATGTATTTTTTTCAGCAGTGAATGGTACATATGCTGGTAACTTTTATTTGAAAATTATTAAAAATTATAGTAAAATTCATCCATAATCCCATAGTACAATTAAAAAGAAATATATATAAATTAAAAGTCCCTCCTTCTGCCTTTTTTTTTTTTTTTTTTTTTTTTTGAGACCAAGTCTCTCTCTGTCACCCAGGCTGGAGTGCAGTGGTGCAATCTTGGCTCACTGCAACCTCCGCCTCCTGGGTTCAAGCGATTCTCCTGCCTCAGCCTCCCGAGTAGCTGGGACTACAGGTGCCCGCCACCACGCCTGGCTAATTTTTGTATTTTTAGCAGAGATGGGGTTTCACCATATTGGCCAGGCTGGTCTTGAACTTCTGACCTCGTGATCTACCCACCTCGGCCTCCCAAAGTGCTGGGATTACAGGCGTGAGCCACTGCCCCTGGCCCCTGGCCCCTGGCCCCTGGCCCCTTCTGTCTATTTAATCTTGTCCCTCAGAGGTAACCAATGTTAATAATTAAGTATCTATATCTCCTGCCATTTTCCCAAATTAATACAGACACATGTAACTAAGCATTCATATGCATATACACACACACATGTTAAAAAACCTTTGTAAATTTACTGCCTGGGGTACCCCCCTTGCCCATGCCTCCAGCTACAAAACAATTCAATTTTTTTTTCCAAAATAAAACCTCAGCTAGCTCTGCCAAAAAAACAAAACAAAACAAAACAAAAAACCACACATAAAAAACCTTTGTAAATATATAGAGAAGATTAATGATATTTTACATGTTACTTTTTCAATTAACAGTTGAACACCTTTCCTGATTAGAACATATTGATATACAGTGAGCCATGACTGTGCCACTGCACCCCAACCTGGGCAACCGAGGAAAATTTAATTTTAACAAAGTCCAGCTTTTCAATTCTTTCTCTCATGAATTGTGCCTTTTGTGGTGTATCTAAAAAGCCAATGCCAAACCCAAGGTCATCTAGGTTTTCTGTCACATGTGTTTTACATGTAGGTCTGTGATCTATTTTGAGTTAATTTTTGTGAAGGGTGTAAGGTCTGTGCCTGGATTCATTATTTTCATGTGGATGTCCAGTTGTCCCTGCACCATTTGTTGAAAAGATTATCTTTTTTCCATTATATTGCCTTTGCTTCTTTGTCATTGTTAATTTTTGTGAAGGGTGTAAGGTCTGTGCCTGGATTCATTATTTTCATGTGGATGTCCAGTTGTCCTAGCACCATTTGTTGAAAAGATTATCTTTTTTCCATTATATTGCCTTTGCTTCTTTGTCATATATTTATGTAGGTCTATGTGTGAACTCTTTATTCTGTGCCATTTATCTATTTGTCTAATTTGTCTGAATTTTTTTTTGTCAATACCACACTGTCTTAATTACTGTAGCTTTAGGTAACTCTTAAAATTGAGTAGTGTCAGTCCTTCTGTTGAATTTTTTCACAAGTTTTTTTTTTTTTTTGAGATGGAGTCTCTGTTACCCAGGCTGGAGTGGAGTGCGGTGGCACAATCTTGGCTCACTGCAACCTCTGCCTCCCTGTTTCAAGCGATTCTCCTGCTTCAACCTCCGAAGTAACTGGGATTACAGGCTCCCACCGCCATGCCGGGCTAATTTGTGTATTTTTAGTAGAGACGGGGTTTTACCATGTTGACCAGGCTGGTCTTGAACTCCCGACCTCAGGCGATCCACCTGCCTCGGCCTCCTAAAGTGCTGGGATTACAAGTATGAGGCACCGCGCCTGGCCACATTTTTTCACAAGCTTTTTAGCTATCTATTGAGATGTTCTTATTTTGTTTGTTATTCTTTTTTAGTTTGTTAATATGATGAATTATATTGATTGATATTTGATTGTTAGTCTATCCCATATTCTGGGGTAATGTTTGGTATTTGGTCATGATATATTATCCTTTTTGTATATTGTTGGATTTGATTTGTTAATTTTTTTCTTTTAAGTGACGGGTTCTCCCTATGTTGCCCAGGCTGGTTTCAAGCTCCTGGGCTCGAGCAATCCTCCCGCCTGGGCCTCCCAAAGTGTTGGGATTACAGGTGTGAGCCACTGCGCCGGGCCTGATTTGTTAAAATTTTGTTAAGGATTTTTGTGTTTATGTCCGCAAGGGTGTTGGTTTGTTTTTTTCTTTCCATTGTGCAGGTTGGTCTTGAACTTCAGGGCTCAAGTGATCTGCCCACCTTGGCTTCCCAAAGTTTTGGGATTACAGGTGTGAGCCACCACACCCAGTCTAGTTTTAATACGAGAATAATGCTGGCCTCATAGAATAGCTGAGAAGTGTTCTCCTCTCTTCTGTTTTTTGGAGTAGTTTATATGTAAATTGGTATTTTTTTCTCTTAAATTTTTGGTAGAATTCACCAGTTCACATCTGGTCTGGTGACTTCTTTTCTTTTCTTTAAAAAAAATTTTTTTTTTTTTTGAGATGGAATTTCACTCTTGTTGCCCAAGCTGGAGTACAATGGTGCAGTCTTGGCTCACCGCAACCTCCACCTCCCAGGTTCAAGCGATTCTCCTGCCTCAGCCTCCCGAGTAGCTGGGATTACGGGCATGCGCCACCACGCCCTGCTAATTTTGTATTTTTAGTAGAGACAGGGTTTCTCCATGTTGGTCAGGCTGGTCTTGAACTCCCGACCTCAGGTGATCCACCCGCCTCGACCTCCCAAAGTGAGATTACAGGCATGAGCCACCGCGCCCAGCCCTAAAATATTTTTAATTTAAAAAATATTTTTTTTTTGCATTCTCATCTTTGGGTCATGGCCTGGTGATTTCTTTATGGGAAAGTTTTCAATCTTCTGAGTTTATATATAAATATATTACTATTGAGGTTGTCTATTTTTTTTGTAAAGTGAGCGTTGATAGTTTATGTCCTTCACGGAATTTGTCCAGTTCATCTAAATTATTAACCTTATTGGTAAAAAGTCATTCATGTTATTCCCGTCTTTTTAATGTAGGATCTTTGGACGTGTCTTTTCCCTTCCCTTCTTCTGGTGTTGGTAATTTTTATCTTCTCTCTTTTTCCATGGTCATCTTTTGTCAGGGTGATCATGGAAAAAGAAAGTTTACAATAAAACGACCAGCTTTTGTTTTTACTGATTTTCAATTTTTTTTTTTTTTTTGAGACAGAGTCTCACTCTGCCGCCCAGGCTGGAGTGCAATGGCATGATCTCAGCTCACTGCAACCTCTGCCTCCCGGGTTCAAGCAATTCTCCTGCTTCAGCCTCCTGAGTAGCTGGGATTACAGGCGCCTGCCACCACGCCCAGCTAATTTTTTTATTTTTAGTAGCGACGGGGTTTCACCACGTTGGCCAGGCTGGCCTCAAACTCCTGACCTCGTGATCCGCCCGCCTGGC
Source organism: Homo sapiens (assembly GCF_000001405.40). Taxonomy (NCBI): domain Eukaryota; kingdom Metazoa; phylum Chordata; class Mammalia; order Primates; family Hominidae; genus Homo; species Homo sapiens. The sequence continues at coordinate 52,960,144 of NC_000001.11, forward strand.
CTCCCAAATTGCTGGGATTACAGGTATGAGCCATGGCGCCTGGCCTATATTCTTTTTTCTAGTTTATTCTACTCACTTCTACTCATTCTTTTTCATTCTGCTCATTTTCTATTTCAATCTGCTCTCATTCTTGATGTTTCCTTTCTTCTCCTTACTTTGGGTTTAATTTATTCTTTATTTTAAATTAGCCACGCCCAGCTAATTTTTTGCAGAGACGGAATCTTGCTATGTTGCCCATGCTGGTCTCGAACTCCTGGGCTCAGGTGGGCCTTCCACCTGGGCCTGCCAAAGTGTTGGGATTACAGGCATGACCCACCATGCCTGGCTACTATGTATATGTGTGTGTGTGTGTGTGTGTGTGTGTGTGTGTGTGTGTATATGTGTGTATATATATGTATGTATATACATGTGTATATATGTATGTATATATATGTATATATGTATGTATATGTATATATGTATGTATATATGTATATATGTATGTATATATGTGTATATATGTATGTATATATGTGTATATATATGTATGTGTATATATATGTATATATGTGTGTTGTGTGTATATATTATGTGCGTGTGTGTGTGTGTGTGTGTGTGTGTATATTTATTTATTTATTCATTCCCAAGACAGAGTCTCACTCTGTCGCCCAGGCTGGAGTGCAGTAGTGGTGTGATCTCGGCTCACTGCAATCTTCACCTCCTGGGTTCAAGCAGTTCTCCCACCTCAGCCTCCCGAATAGCTGGGACTGTAGGTGCATACCACCACACCTGGCTAATTTATGTATTTTTAGTAGAGATAGGGTTCACCATGTTGGCCAGGCTGGTCTTGAACTCCTGAGCTCAAGTGATCCACCCGTCTCAGCCTCCCAAAGTGCTGGGATTACAGGTGTGAGCCACCACGCCCAGCCTATTTCCTTTGGTTCTTTTTTTTTTTTTTTTTTTTTTTAATTATACTTTAAGTTCTAGGGTACATGTGCACAACGTGCAGGTTTGTTACATACGTATGCATGTGCCATGTTGGTGTGCTGCATCCATTAACTTGTCATTTACATTAGGTATATCTCCTAATGCTATCCCTCCCCCCAACCCCCACCCCACAACAGGATGGAATAGTTACTGGCACATACTGGATGCCCAATAAATATTTCTTGAAAGAGTTAATACCTCTTTGGTCACTTGATTATTTTTTCTTCTTCCCATGTTTCCCTGTGGAGCATGTCTTAACTGATTTGATTCACATTGACAATTTCTGGTGTACTATGTGCTTAGAATAAATAAATATCTTAATAGCACTGTAGTAGTTTTGAAAGAGACACTTATCATGTCAGCTGCTTATGAAATTTTGTTCCCCCCTCTTAGTTTTCAGATAGAACCATTCCCACTGATAAGCATGTTGACCTCCTGATCAATAAGTATGGATTGTCTGCTCACCCAGTTGCTCCTCAGATGTTTGGGTATGCTGGAAAAGAACATATGGAAAAATATGGTATGTTACAGTTAAAAAACTTTGAGGCTTCTTACTAGTTATATACATGAGATGAGAAATGACAGTTATTTATTAAGGAACTGTGGAGGATGCCAGGATATATAAGATGTAAAATGTTTTTTGAATTAAATCGAAGTAATAGTTCTTGTAGAACTTAGTCATAGAGAAAGTATTTATATATAGACTATGGTATGGGAAGTACCTAGAGTACTCTATAGCAGGAAGTTGAAATAGGAAAAATAACACAAATCTTGTCTCCTTTAATCATGGACTATAAATTATTTTTTTCCAAGCTGAGGGTTTCACTCTGTTATGCAGGTTGGGTGCAGTGGTGCGATCTCGGCTCACTGCAACTTCCATCTCCCAGGCTCAAGCGATCCTTCCACCCCAGCCTCTCGAATAGCTGGGACTACAGATGTGCACCACCATGTTCGGCTAATTTTTTGTATTTTTGGTAGAGGTGGCTTTTTGCCATGTTGCCCAGGCTGGTCTCAAACTCTGAGCTCAAGTGATCCACCTGTCTCAGCCTCCCAAAGTGTTGGGATTACAGGCGTGAGCCACCATGACTGGCCATGGACTATAAATTGAGGATCTTAAAATGTCAACCAAGAAGAGGTGAAAGATCAAGCTATTCATACTCTACATTCAATATATCAGCAAGCCTTTTCTCTATATTCTCAGTCTATCCATTTCTCACCATTTCTGCTACTTTTGCTGTAGTGGCATAATTTCGCACCTGAAATTTAGGAGTGTTCTAACTGGTTTCTCTACTTCTGCTTGTGCACCTCCAGAGTCAATTCTCTACTTTATAGCCAGAGCCATGCTTTTAAAATATATCAGATCATTTCACTCCTGTGCTTAAAATTCTCCATTGTTTCTCATGACATTCAGATTGAAACCCAAATGTCTTCTTATGGCCTATGAGCTTCTACATGATCATTCCCTTCACCCTCATTAGCTCTCTGACTGTATCTCCGACCATTTTTTCTTTCACTAGTCTGCTCCAACCACACTATCCTTTCTTTCTGTTCCTCAAACACACCAAGCTTTTCTTCAGGTAGGGCCTTAGCTTCTACCCTAAGATTGTCAGAGCCAGCTCCCTTGCTTCCATCAGGTCTTTGCTTAAAAGCCACCTTCTGCTTTCTTTCATCACTCTCCTTCCCAGAACTTCCTATTCACTATCTCCTGCTTTATCATTTTATATGGCACCTATAATAATCTGACATATATCTGACACATACATATATGTCAGATTATTACAGGTGCCATATAACATGATATATATATATATATTCTTGTTTATTGACTCTTCCAACCAGAATATAAGTTCAACAAAAGCATGGATTTTTATTTGTCTTATTTCCTGCACATTGATTGTTAACCTAGAATAGTACCTGGCTAAACCAAGGATAAAAGAAAAAAAAAAAAAAGAATAGTGCCTGGCACAAATCAGTGTTGTGTAATTAATTCATCTTTAAAATTTAGAAAGACCCTCCATGACTATTCAAATCAAAGTAGTCCCCTCCTGTTATCCTCTTTCTTAGATAGCTTCATATTGCTTCCTTCATAGCACTTAGCACTATTTATGTTCATATATTTATCATATGTGATTTTACTTGTTTAATTTTCATCTTCCTTATTAGTCTATAAACTCCACGAAAGCAGGTCCATGTCTGCTTTGTTTACCTTGATATACACAGCCAAGCACAGAGCTTGGCATGTTATTTAACCAGAAAGAAGTTTTTTTTTTTTCTTTCTCTTCTATAGTCTGCAGCATATTTAAATACTCAAGAAACATTTATTGAATGAAGGAGTGAATTTCCATATGTATGTTATCTTATTCAGCTATCACAAGAATCCATTATCGGAGGTGTTATTATCTCATTTTATACCAGAAGAATCTGATATTCAGACAAGTTTTTGACCAGGATGATAGGGTCAATAAGTAGCAGAGCCTATGTTCCATTCTATTTCTGTCTCACTCAAAAGCCCTTGCGCAGCCCTTTCTCCCAGTAATAGTAGCTGCTCTTTGTTGCGTGCCTCACACATCTTAGATATTTTACACACCAAATATAACAACTATTTTAAGAGGTAAGTGTATGCCTATTTTTCATATGAGGAACCTGAAGCTTGGAGAATTTGAGTAACTTCTTCTAATAGGTGATAGGAGAGGGTTTCACACCCAAATCTGCCATACTATAAAACCTCCATTCTTTTCATTGTTTCTCATATAGCTATATTTAATTTTAAATAATAAAAAGCTTTTACTGTATATTAACTTTTAGTTTTCTTGTCATTCCTGTACATAGTTGAGGGACATTAAGTACTTTTTGTTAGCATTTATTATAGGTACAGAAACATGTTTTGCTTGAAATTTTCATTTGTGCTTGGCTTTCCTTTTTTCTTTTTTGACCTATTTTGTGAAGGGGAAGGAAAACTGAATATTGTAATAGCATTTTTGTTTAAAAATCATAAATATTTTAAATTACTTAATTAGATAATGAATGTGGCCAGATTATAATTTGAAATTAAATTTGTTTATGGTTGTCATTTGAAAGGTTTGTCAAATTTTTTTCTTTTCTCTCTTTTTTTTTTTTTTTTTGAGACAGAGTCTCGCTCTGGAGTGCAGTGGCATGATCTTGGCTCACTGCAAGCTCCGCCTCCTGGGTTCACGCCATTCTTCTGCCTCAGCCTCCCGAGTAGCTGGGACTATAGGCACCCGACCACCACACATGGCATTTTTTGTATTTTTAGTAGAGACGGGGTTTCACCATGTTAGCCGGGATGGTCTCAATCTCCTGACCTCGTGATCCGCCCAACTCAGCCTCCCAAAGTGCTGGGATTACAGGTGTGAGCCACCGTGCCTGGCCCAGGTTTGTCGATTTTAAAAGATGATATGCTTCATTTTTAGAGGTATATTGTAATATACTTTAAAAATATTTTGTTTAGAAGTAATTTCAGACTGAACAAGAATGTTGCCAAAATAGTACAAGAATTCCTAATACTTTTCCTCTAGATTTTCTAAAAATTAACATTTTGCCATGCTTGTTGTTTTAATGAATTCTTTTTACCTATATTGCTATGTAATTTTTAAAAAATGTAAGGCTGGGTGCTGTGGCTCACGCCTGTAATCCCAGCACTTTGGGAGGCCAAGGCGGACGGATCCTGAGGTCAGGAGTTCAAGACCAGCCTGGCCAACATGGTGAAACCCCGTCTCTACTAAAAATACAAAAAATTAGCCGAGCCTGGTAGTGCACACCTGTAGTCCCAGCTACTCGGGAGGCTGAGGCAGGAGAATTGCTTGAACCCGAGAGGTAGAGGTTGTGAGCCGAGATCGCGCCACTGCACTCTAGCCTGGGCAACAGAGCGAGACTCCATCTCAAAAACAAACAAACAAACAAACAAACAACAACAACAAAATTAATTTAAAAAAGTTTGAGAGTAAGTTGCAGTTCTTTCATAGTCACTACAGTGATAAAAATTGGGAAGTTAATATTGATATGATGCTATTATATAATCTACAGACCTCATTCTAAATTTCACCAGTTATCTCACTAACATCTTTTTCTGGCCCAAGAGCCCTCATAGTTTTTCTTTTTCAGTGTTTTCTTGCCTCCATTTATGCATAGGTTATGTGCATGGGTTTTTTTTGTTTTCTCCATTTGAACTTTACTCTCAATTTGTTGAGCTCCATAAAAAATCTTATTGGTATTTTTACTAGGATTGTATTAATCTTGTTAATTTAGGGAAAACTGATGTATTTATGAGGCTGAGTTGTCCTGTCAAAGAACAGGGATTATCTTTTTATTTATTCAGTTCTGTCTTTGTGTCTTTCAGGAGTGTTTTAAAGTTTTCTTCATATCTAAGTGTTTTATTTCTTGTTAAACTTATTCCTAAATACCTTCTTTAATTCCTTTAATCATCCTTGCTGCTGCTATTGCACATGGACTTTTCACTGGTGTTATATCCTCCAAGGTGGTCGTTGCTTGTGTATACAAAGGCTACTGATTTTTTTTTCCCCCCAACATGGAGTCTTGCTCCGTTGCCCAGGCTGGAGTGCAATGGCATGATCTTGGCTTACTGCAATCTCCATCTCCTGGATTCAAGCGATTCTCCTGCCTCAGCCTCCCAAGTAGCTGGGATTACAGGTGCGCATCACCAAGCTTGGCTAATTTTTGTAGTTTTTTTTTTTTTTTATTAGAGACCTGATTTTACCATGTTGGCCAGGCTGGTCTTGAACTCCTGACTTCAAGTGATCCACCTGCCTCAGCATCCCGAAGTGCTGGGATTACAGGTGTGAGCCACATACCTGGCCAGCTATTGAGTTTTATATATTAATCTTATGACTTGCTATCTCACTGAAGTTTTTAATTTTTGAGTTAGTTTTATTATTGATTTTACTTATAGGGGTTTCCACATATGCAGCTATATTATATCATCTACAAAAAGAGATGGTTTTACTACTTCTTTTCTCATTGTAATATTTGAACTGACTTATCTAATTGTATTTGCAAATACCATCAGTACAATGTTAAGTAGCAGTGGAAGACAGTAAGCATCCTTGTCCTGTTCCTGATCTTGGTGTTTTAAGTAAGGTACTGAGTTAAGCACATAGATATATCTATTATATGTTGAAAAAGTATCCGTCAGTGTCTATTTTCTTGAGTTTTTTTTTTTCCAGGAATGGGTATTGAATTTTGTAGCTTTTCCAGTATCTATGGAGATAATTGCATTATGTTCCCCACTTAGATCTATGGCTGGACTATTTTAGTAATGGATTCCTAACAGTAAACCAAGTTTGCATATCTGGAATAAATGCCGGTTGATCATGGTGTATTGCTGTTTTTAACATGGAATTAGGTTCTGTTGCTATTATTTTATTTAGTAATTTCAAATCATTATTTGTAAGTGATATATATATATATATTTTATTGTTATCAAGTTTGGGTGTTAATTTTATACTAAAGAAATAGGGGCCAGTTGTGGTGGCTTACGCCTGTAATCCCAGCACTTTGGGAGGCAGAGGCAGGCAGATCACGAGGTCAGGAGTTTGAGACCAGCCTGGCCAACATGGCGAAACCCCATTTCTACTAAAGATACAAAAAAAAAAAAAAATTAGCCGGCATGGTGGCATGCACCTGTAATCCCAGCTATTTGGGAGGCTAAGGCAGGAGAATCACTTCAACCCGGGAGGTGGAGGTTGCAGTGAGCCGAGATCATGCCATTGTACTCCAGCCTGGGTGACAGGACAAGACTCCGTCTTAAAAAGAAATAGGAGCCACGCACGATGGCTCATGCCTGTAATCCCAGCACTTTGGGAGGCTAAGGTGGACGGATTACCTGAGGTCAGGAGTTCGAGATCAGCCTGGTCAGCATGGTGAAACCCTGTCTCTACTAAGAATACAAAAAAATTAGTCAGGCATGGTGGCAGGCGCCTGTAATCCCAGCTACTCAGGAGGCTGAGGCAGGAAAATCGGTTGAACCTGGGAGGTGGAGGTTGCAGTGAGCCGAGATTGTGCCACTGCACTCCACCCTGGGCAACAGACTGGGACTCCTCAATTAAAAAAAAAGAAATAGGAAGCTATTTTAATGCTCTGAAACAATTTATGGAACTTTGAAACCAACTGCTTTGTAGGTTTGGTAGAATTCCTTGTGAGATAATCTGGGCCTGGTTCTTTCTTTTTGGCTTGGTAATCTATTTTTTTTTTTTAATGTTTAAACATTCTATATCCAATGGGGCCAATTTTGGTAGTCTGTAGTTCTCCAGGAAATTATCCACGTCATTTAGATTTTCAAATCAATTTGTATAGAAGTCTGAAAAGTAGTATTTTAACAATGTAAATTTTTATTTCTATTTCAATGATATTCTCCTCTTGTCATTTGTTTATTTTGAGATGGAGTCTTGCTCTGTTGCCCAGGCTGGAGTGCAGTGGCACTATCTTGGCTCACTGCAACCTCCACTGTTGCTGTCAATTGCTATGGGATTGAACAAAGGGGGACAAATGCAGAAATGAAGAGAAAGACAAAAAGATCTGTTTTGAAAGAAGGGGTCAGGGGGCTCCTTGCTTCTAGTGAACAAGCACCCTGAGCTTTTACAGCCCTTCATATTTATTAGGTAGAAAGAGCAGGGAGGCAGAGGTAACTGTTGGTCCGCTGCTTGATTTATCACAGGTACACACAATTGCTTTCTTTGTACAACAGGTTTCCGATGTTCCTATAGATAATCACAAGGAACACTGTGCTTGGGGTGTGACTGCCCTCAGCACCCCTTCTGGCAGCAGATGCAGTTGTCAGTTTTCCAACATCCTGCTTTCATCCAGTTTCCTGTTTGCTCATATAGCCTCCAGTGGTATACTGAGTCAGTCACGACCCTCACTCTTTTGGCCTGTAACACTCTGCCTCCTGGGTTCAAGCAATTCTCCTGCCCCAGCCTCCTGAGTAACTGAGACTACAGGTGCGTGCCACCATGCCTGGCTAATTTTTTGTATTTTTAGTAGAGATGGCGTTTCTCCATGTTGGTCAGGCTGGTCTCTAACTCCTGACCTCAGGTGATCGGCCCGTCTTGGCCTCCCAAAGTGCCAGATTACAGGTGTTAGCCACCACGCCGGCCTCTCTTGTCATTTATTCTTTGTGTGCATTTATGGTTTCTCCCTTTTCCCTTGATGAAATTAGCTGGTAGTTTGTCTCTTTTGTTAAATTTTTCAAAATAACAGGATTTTGATTAATTATGTCTATTCTTTCTATTCTTTACCCTCATTCATTTCTTCATCTTCCTGGTACTTTCTTTTGGTTTACTTTATTCTTATTTTTAGTTTTTTGACTTGGAGAATTCAATATTTTATTTCTTGTTAATATAACAGCTTTATTGAGGTATAATTCTTATATCATATAATTTACTCTTTTAAAGTGTACAATTCAGTGATTTTTAATATATTCACAGAGTTGCATGACCATCACCATGATTAATTTCAGAACATTTCATTAACCAAAAATGAAACCCTGTACCCATTAGCAGTCCATTACCTCCTCTTCTAGTTCCTGGCAGCCACTCATCTACTTTGTTTTTCTTTGGATTTGCCTATTCTGGACATTTTATATAAATGTACAGTTGGCCCTTGAACAACAGGGGGTTTAGTGGTACTGACCTGCACAGTCAGAAATTCATGTATAACTTTTGATTCCCCCCGAATTTAACTAATAGCCTGCTCTTGACCAGAAGCCTTAGTGGTAACATAAAAAATTGATTTACACATATTTTTTATGTTACATATATTATACACTATGCTCATAATAAAGTAAGCTAGACAAAAGAAAATGTTATTAAAATCATAAGGAAGAGAAAATATAGTTACTATTCATTAAGTGGAAGGTGATCATCTTAAAGATCTTCATCCTTGTTGCTCTTCTTCTTCATCATTTTCTTGTTGAGTAGGCTGAGGAGGAAGGGGAAGGTTGGTCTTGCTGTCCCAGGTGGCAGAGACAGAAGAGGTGGAAGAGGAGGCAGAAGAGGCAGGCATACTTGATGTAACTGTCATTGAAAAAAGTCCCCTTATAGTGGACCCATGCAGCTTAAACCTGTGTTGTTCAAGAGTCAAATATAATCAATATGTGGCCTTTCTGGATATGGTGATACACACCTGTAATCCCAGCACTTTGGGAGGCTGAGGCAGGTAGATCGCTTGAGCCCAGGAGTTCAAGACCAGCCTGGGCAACATGATGAAACCACAAAAGTTAGCTGGTGTGGTGGCACATGCCTATAGTCTCAGCTACTTGGGAAGCTGAAGTGGGAGGACTGCTTGAGCCTGGAAGGAGGAGGCTGCAGTAAGCCAAGGTCGCACCTCTGCATTCCAGCCTGGTTGACAGAGTGTGACCCTGTTTTTGTTTGTTTGTTTGTTTGTTTTTTCTAAAAAGGCCAGGCACAGTGACTCACACCTGTAATCCCAGCACTTTGGGAGGCTGAGGTTGGGGGATCCCCTGAGGTCTGGAGTTCAAGACCAGCCTGGCCAACATGGTGAAACCCCATCTCTACTAAAATACAAAAATTAGCCGGGCGTGGTCGCGTGTGCCTGTAATCCCAGCAACTGGGGAGGCTGAGGCAGGAGAACTGCTTGAGCCTGGGAGGTGGAGGTTGCAGTGAGCTGAGATTGCACCTCTGCACTCCAGCCCGGGCGGCAGAGCTAGACTCCATCTCAAACAAACAAACAAACAAACAAACAAAAAAAGTGGCCTTTTGTGACTGGCTTCTTTAAGTTAGTATATTTTCACTGTTCATTCATGTCATAGCATGTATTAGGACCTCATTCCTTTTTACTGCTTAATAATATTCCTTATGTCATTCATTTATTCTTATTAATAAATGGTTAGTGGTATATATTTTCCTGATTACTGTGTTAAATGTATCACATTGATTCTGATATGTAGTATTTTCATTATCATTATTTTCTGACAAGTTCTATAATTTCCATTTCTATTTTCATTTTTTACCCAAGAATTATTTCATGGAAATATTTTTTAAATTTCCAGGTGGACTTTTAATTTTATTAGTAATTTCTAGTTTTATTGCCTGGTGATTTGAGTGTGTTGTTTGTAGACTGAGGGGATTCTTAGTTCTATGGTGCCCTCTTCTGTAAGTGTAGTAGAATGGGGTCTTGCAATACTACCCAGGCTGACTCTTTTTAGGTGCAATCATGGTGCACCACAGCCACAAACCCCTGGGCTCAGGCAATACTCCTGTCTCAGCGTCCTGAGTCGCTGGGACTACAGGTGTACCTTGTCCTCTTTTGCTGCTTTTCTCCTTCACCGCTCAATTGCACCATACAAATGTCCTCTTACATACAAATGTCCTCTTATGCTGCTTTTCTCCTTCACTACTCAATTGCACCAAAAGGGACCTTGCCCTTTCATTTTGCTTTTTTTTTTCCTCTCAGAACTTATACCTTTAAGATTCCCACCTCAGATCTCCTGTGTTTTTCAGCCCATTCCATATAGTCATGGTTTGATCTATAGGAATATTTTCTTGGTATTTTCACACTTGGGGAGGAGGTCTTTCTTTTCTTGGTAGTTTAGAGCAGTTGTTGGCCTGCGATTATCTCCCCTCTTCTCTGCACAGTTTCCTCAGCCTGCCCATGTACCCTTAAAGGTTTGTGTAGAAACGTGAGCAGTTGTTGGCTGGGATTTGGTCTTATATATTTTTTCTTTTCTTTTTCTTTTTTTTTTAACTTATAGATAATTTGAAATTTGGCATTTTCTATTTTCTAGTTATGCTGAGAGTATGATTTGTGCTATTTTATTTTTTCTGGTTATTCTGTATTGGTTTTAGAGGCTATAGAGAGACACAGATTTTTTTTTTTTTTTTTTTTTTTTTGAGACAGAGTCTCAGTCTGTTGCCCAGGCTGGAGTGCAGTGGCGCAATCTCAGCTCACTGCAAGCTCTGCCTCCCGGGTTCACGCCATTCTCCCGCCTCAGCCTCCCGAGTAGCTGGGACTACAGATGCCCGCCACCACGCCTGGCTAATTTTTCTGTATTTTTAGTAGAGACGGGGTTTCACCGTGTTAGCCAGGATGGTCTCGATATCCCGACCTCGTGATCCACCCGCCTCGGCCTCCCAAAGTGCTGGGATTACAGGCGTGAGCCACCGCTCCCGGCCGAGAGACACAGATTTACGTGGCCTCCATTTTTCCTCAATTACCTGGAAATCCTGTTACTGATGTGTTTTTAAGTGTATATATTTTCTCAAGTTTTACATTGCTCAGAATAATTGGACAGTTTTCTAGTCTAAAATTTGAAATATAAATGTACACTATTTTAGTGGAAATGTCATTGTAGGGAACAAGGGCCTTGACCCTCTGAAGGTTCACTGAAAATCACTTACATGAGGCAGATTAACAGGAGAAAAGGCATACAAATTTATTTAACGTGTGTACACGGGAACATTCAGAATGAAGACTCAAAAAAATGGGAAATTGTCCATTTTTATGCTTAGGTTCAACAAAGTATGGAACAGCCCTATAGAAATATGATTGGACAAAAAGCATATGATCTAATGCTAATAGACTGAGTGGAGAAACCCAGCCAGGCCTGTCCATCTAGGTTCTTCTTGGCCTCTTTGAGCACACATTCCTTCCTTCTGGGCGTGGGGCAGGTCCCTTTCTGGAATGGGGGTCTTATGACCCACAGTCAAACAAGATAGGTCAGATAGTTTGTTTATGACCAGTTTTTACACAGAAAGGTGGAGGAAGTTAAAGTAATATTTCTAGGTTTTATGACTGGCTTTGGGGAAAAGGAGTTCTGGTTTCTATGACCTGCCTTGGGGAAGAGGGATTCTAGTTTCTATGGTTAGCCTCAGGAGAGAATGGGCCTGAGAGACAGGAGGGTAGGAGAAGGTCAGTGAAAAACTTTTGCTTCTGAGGCTATCATTTGGGGGTATTGTTTCTTTATTCTTCATTCGACAGATTTCTAAATGAATTGTAGAATTTTATATAATTTAAATTGTTATTTAAAATTGCTGTTTGTGAGTGTTCTGAATGTGCACTAGAAATGAATATGTAAGAAAGCTTATAGTAGTTTAAATCATTTGTAGAACCAGCCGAGTTTGTGGTTTCATAATTAAATTATAGGATATTAAAATAGTTTGACATAAAGGCATAGCCTTTGAATAGTCAAAAATCTTAATTGGCAATTCAGAATCAGTAGTCAATAAGCCCTTCATCAGTGGCCAGGCTTAATAAATATGTAAGTGACTGGCAGAATATTTTTCAAGGGGATGCTGTCTTTTATTGATTAATCAGATCCTATGTTACGAAAAAAGGAAGAAAAGATACGAACATTATTGAACATCTCTTATGTCAGACACCATGCCAAGTACTTTACTGTTTTAGCCACCCTTCTTCCTACCAATCTATGCATGGATTGCTTGCAAATCTAATAGAGACAATAAAGCATGTGTACTTCCTAAAACAAGGAATTTGTCACCAACTGAGGCCACCAATCCCAATTTTTAGGAGATTCCAATTGTTACAATTCCCTTTTTCATGTTGAACCCAAATCTCTCACCCTATGGTTTGCATCCATGGTCTTGTTTTTGTCTTCTGAGAATGACAGAAAAAGCCTATTTTACCTTGTAGCCCTTCAAATATCTGAAGCCAGCCTGACCCTATATTTAATTTCTTCTCTTAACTACTCTCATTAGACTTGTTTCATAACCCATAAGCAGTCTAATTGCTGTACTGTGATCCCATGTAAGCTATTCTGCTAGTCACATCACACTATGAAATCTCACTGAGCTTGAGGTTTCTCATAGTTGTTGCTCATTTTTGCAGGTTGTTGTGGGAGTTCAAGAATAGAACTGAGTGTTTAATTTATATTCTGATCCATCCTATTGATAGACCTTGTTGAAATTCAACATTATAGCAGTCCCTTCCAGCTTTAGGTTTGGTGAGAGAGCCTCTAGTTTTCTTACTCACTTTGTAATAGAAATATTAACAAGACCAGAGCTGAGGTTAGAAGTTAGTGCTAGAAACTTTTCTCTAGGTCAATGCATTAATTAATGCCTGTTGTTTCACATGAGTGTAATATTGGGAAATGCTTCATACTTTAATCCTCTTCTAGATGGTCATAATGCACATAGTGCAATAGTAAAGGCTCCAAATGTCTTACAGTAAAGACGTGTTTAGCTTTGTTTAACCATAGTCTAAACTTATTTGACAGAAGAACCCTCTTTTTTTTTTTTTGGTAACACCAAAAGATAAAAATGAAAATAACCCCCCAAAATCCCACACTACGATATTTCCTTATCTTGTCCAAAATGTTTTGAGAAATTTCGTTAATTTTCTTGCTGCTGTCCAGATACTATGTTTTCTTTGATCTAACAGTCAATTCAGTCACGAAAAGATAACACATAATTTGACTTGTCTTATTCTTATTGAACCCATATTGGCCTCCTCCTGATCACTATTCTTTTTTTGAGATGGAGTCTCACGCTGTCACCTAGGCTGGAGTGCAATGGCACAATCTCGGCTCACTGCAATCTCCGTCTTCCGGGTTCAAGTGATTCTCCTGCCTCAGCCTCCCAAGTAGCTGAGATGACAGGTGTATGCCACTATACCTAGCTAATTTTTGTGTTTTTACTACGCCTGGCTAATTTTTGTAGTTTTACTAGAGACAGAGTCTCACCATGTTGACTAGTCTGGTCTTGAACTCCTGACCTCAAATGATCCACCCACCTTGGCTTCCCAAAATGCTGGGGTTACAGGCATGAGCCATCGCGCTTGGCCCTGATCACTATTTTTATTGTTAGAAGATCACAAGTGTGGAATTTATCTTCTCTTTTTATTAGAATTGAGATAAGATTTGCTTAATTATATGTATGTCATTTTTGCTCTGAAGATCATCCTCCTTGATAGAGAAGAGAGAGATAAAACAGACATGGGGAACTTTGTACTTTACTGTGCCATTAATATAACATTATCAGCTCTAATTGGTGGCTTTCTTTTTTCTTTGGCCTTTACAGCACCAAATGAGAATTCAAAGCATATTTTATTCAGTTTTATCTTTTTAAAAGTAGTAAAAAAAAATTTTTTTTGCGTGTTTTACCTCATTACTGTACTTTTTTTTGTTTTCCTGACACGATTATTTAAATTTTCTGTTAAGGAATTTAAAAGGCATACATATTTCTTATCAGGATATAACTCTTCTAAAAACTTTTCTGTTTTATCATAAGGAAAGGGAGGAAGATGAAATATCTTATCATGCCCTGGAGGGTGTGAGTTGTGTAAAATTCTCTCAGTCTAGCGTACTGGGGTGTTTGACAGACTCCTAGAGGAATTGTAGTGTTCTCCTGCCTTAAAACCACCATGTTTCTTGTTTTTGAAACTGGGTTCTACTTATTTTAATTAGAATAGATCAGTTTGAACTGTTTTTATCTTATGTGCCTATTAGTTGATTCAGTTCGTTAATTAGGCCCACATTTAATTATAAATAAAAATTTTTTGAGGGAACAGTGCTGAAGTCTTTAATACTGATGATATATATGAAAGGGAAAATATGGAGATATTTAGCAGAACACTGAGTACCATTGCAAGATTTGTTAATAAGCAGCGGAAAAACATTCACCCACTGGTAGATGTTTGCTTTCTTTACAGGAACAAAAATTGAACACTTTGCAAAAATTGGATGGAAAAATCATAAACATTCAGTTAATAACCCGTAAGTATTTCAGAGACATGAAATAATGAAAATCTGGGTTATCCTACTGTATAATATGCAACTTTATACTTGAAAAGCAAATGCCAAGATCTCAAATATTTTAACTAGAATGTTTTATTTTTTTCTTACAAAAGGCTTATACGCAAGTAAACTTTTGACAACTTTTCAGTTCCAGTTTTTGGCCACTTTATATTTAGAATATCATTTAGGCTAATGACCCTTTTTCTTTTTTTTGAGACAGAGCCTCGCTGTGTCATCCAGGCTGGAGTGCAGTGGCGTGATCTCGGCTGCCTGCAACCTCTACCTCCCTAGTAGCTGGGACTACAGGAGCCACCATGCCCGGCTAATTATTATTATTATTTTTTTTAGATGGCATCTCACTCTGTCACCCAGGCTGGAATGCAGTGGCATGATCTCGGCTCACTGCAACCTCTGTGCCCTGGGTTCAAGCGATTCTCCTGCCTCAGCCTCCCGAGTAGCTGGGATTACAGGCACCTGCCACAGCACCTGGCTAATTTTTGTATTTTTAGTAGAGACAGGGTTTCACCATCTTGGCCAGGCTGGTCTTGAACTTTGACCTCGTGATCCACCTGCCTCTGCCTCCCAAAGTGCTGGGATTACAGGTGTGAGCCACCGCACCCAGCCTGTATTTTTAGTTGAGACGAGCTTTTGCCATGTTGGCCAGGCTGGTCTTGAACTCCTGACCTCAGGTGATCTGCCTGCCTTGGCCTCCCAAAGTGCTGGGGTTACAGGTGTGAGCCACCATGCCTGGCTAATTGTACATTTATTTAAAAGCTCCATTAGCCTTAATTAATGTACTTGTATAATATTATCGGCTCAAAAGTTGGCTGAATTGCAGGTGATTTGATTTTGCTTTTAAGGAACTAGTATTCTTTAATTTGCCAGGAAACATAAATATGGTATTCTGTTTTAATCCCCAACTGGTCTAACACCAACTGGGTATATTGCAACTCAATTCTGGCATGAAGCGCCTAGGAGTTAATGCAAACTCCATGAATTAAGGACCCAGTCCTCCACAAGACTGCTCATACGTCAGACATTAGCTGCAAGTGGGATGCCCATGCCACCCATATTTTGACCAACTGACCACAAATCCAGGGGCTCCCATGACTCCCTCAGATTCAATAATTCACTAGAACAACTTACAGAACTCAGGAAAGTACTTAAAATTACAGTTTTATTATAAAGGATATAAATCAGAAACAGTCAAATGAAGAGGCATATAGAGTGAGGTCTGGGAGCATCCCAAGCAAAGCTTTCTTGCCTTTTCCCTATGGAGTCAGGGCATGTCATCCTCCGGATACATCAAGACGTTCACCAATCAGGAAGCCCCGCTGAACACCATGTCCAGATTTTTTACTGGGGCTTCATTATGTCAGCATGCTAGATTAAATCACTGGCCACATAACTGAACTCAATCTCCAGCCTTCCTCTTCTTCTCAGAGGTTGAGCTGGCTCAAAAGTCTCAACTCTGTAGTCACATGGTTGGTCTTTTGGTGGTCAGTCTCCCATTTTCAAGATAACAAGGCCCACCATAAGTGACCTCATTAGCATAACAAAGACACTTCTATCATTCAGGAAATTCCAAGGGCTTTGGAAGCTCCAAGCCAGGAACCCAGGACAAAGACCAAATTTTAAAAAATAAAACATACTGTATTTTAGAGTTAGGATTTTTTAAAAGGTCAATTCAGATGACATTTATGGCTATTCATAAAAATCTGTCTTCTGGTTGTGAAAATAATATTTACATATTATTCTGTTTCTTACTCTGCAACAAAAATTACAGTTGCTATCTCACATTCTGTAACTAATATTTATTTTGTATTTAGGTATTCCCAGTTCCAAGATGAATACAGTTTAGATGAAGTGATGGCATCTAAAGAAGTTTTTGATTTTTTGACTATCTTACAATGTTGGTAAGAAAAATATATTTTAACATTTAATGAGGGAAGTAACTGCTGCCCTTCCTGCCACCCCCCTGTGGTTAAACCTTAGGCTCTGCATCTGGGCGGAGCTTTCACAGAACTCCTCCCAGTGCCGTCCCCACTCTGGGTCACTTCACTAGAGTACCCTACTTCTTACTCCTGCCTGGAGACAGACTGTCTCTTCTCTTGGAAAATGATGTGTTTTACTTCTTCTTGCAGGACTTCTACCTACTTTGGTGATTGCAATTGTATTTATTCATTAAACTGTGGCTTGGGGGCCAGTGGAGCCCAAAGCATTTTGTTTTCCCTGCTATGTACTTCTACTACAGGAAATTCTACTCTATAATAGTAGCTATGAGTAAAAGTAAAACAAGGAAAAATTCATAGCTCTAATGATGATAACAGTTGTTTCTTGCAAAGTGCTTGACAGTATCTGTCTCCTAGAAAATTGAGTGAGTACTGCTTAGCTCCTGCCTGTGTCCTAGTTAACACCTGGCTGTGCCCTGTAGATACAGGCTGGGATGGAAAGAAATAAGTCGGGTCAGCTTTTATTTGTTGTGATATGAGGGTCTGCCCATTTAGAAAGTCTAACTGAACTCCCAGAAGACTTCTTGTGTTTGCTACCTTCCATCACAGTTTGCTGTAAGAAAAAGATCTGTTTAAGATCTCGAGAGTCTTAACTAAAGCAGATGGTTTTGTATTCCCAAGCTATCTTTTCCCAGTTTCCAAAAGGATTTCAGGACTGAGTTATTTGGAGATAGCAAAGTTGGAGCTGGGGCGGTCTGTAGTAGAATCTTTATTGTATTAGGATAGGAATAACCTTTTGGACTTACTCCTCAGAAGATGCCTTATGCATCTCCAGAGGCAAATTGGTAATTCTTTGCAATAAGAACTTTTTGGGGCTGGGCGTGGTAGCTCACGCCTGTAATCCCAGCACATTGGAAGGCCGAGGCGGGCGGATCACCTGAGGTTGGGAGTTCGAGACCAACCTGACCAACATGGAGAAACTCCGTCTCTACTAAAAATACAAAATTAGCCAGGCGTGGTAGCGCATGCCTGTAATCTCAGCTACTCAGGAGGCTGAGGCAGAAGAATCACTTGAACCGGGGAGGAGGAGGTTGCAGTTGCAATGAGCCAAGATAACACCATTATACTCCAGCCTAGGCAACAAGAGCGAAACTCCATCTCAAAAAAAAAAAAAAGAACTTTTTGGGACTCTTAGATTCCAAGTAGTGATTGACAACATTTAAGTTCTTGATAGAGGTTCAGTCCTCAGGTGGGAA
Organism: Homo sapiens; assembly: GCF_000001405.40. Lineage (NCBI taxonomy): Eukaryota > Metazoa > Chordata > Mammalia > Primates > Hominidae > Homo > Homo sapiens. Next base: position 52,978,062 of record NC_000001.11, read on the forward strand.
GCATGTGTGATTTACAACTGTAGATATCACAAAGAAGACAATCCACTGACCAGCAAGCATATTTGGCCTTTCCTTTCACATAGAAGTAACTCCTAGTCTGAAATCCTCCGATCAGGTGCTACTGGGTGTGGAGAATTATTTTTACTTCCTCTTAGTCCCACTTCAGATGGTGCTGCAGCAGCAATTTTGGCCAGTGAAGCATTTGTACAGAAGTATGGCCTGCAATCCAAAGCTGTGGAAATTTTGGCACAAGAAATGATGACTGATTTGCCAAGCTCGTTTGAAGAAAAAAGCATTATTAAAATGGTATGTCTGAGATTCTATTTGTTATTTTTATTTTTAAGATGGAGTCTCATGATTCTTGTGATGGAGCCATGCATTATTATATAATAACTTTTAATTAACTAGACATGCTATTTGTCATTATTTTAAGTTGACTATGCCTAGAACTCCAATCTTACAGAGTTAAGGGAAAAATGATTGTTTTGTTTTGTTGTTCTTTCTTTTCTTTTCTTTCTTTCAACAGGGTCTTACTCTGTCACTCAGGCTGCAGTGCAGTAGTGCGATCTCAGCTTACTATAGCTTCCACATCCCAGGCTCAATCAATCCTCCCACTTCAGCCTCCCAAGTGGCTGGGACTACAGGCACATGCCACGACTGCCGGCTAATGTTTGTATTTTTTGTAGAGACACAGTTTTGCCATGTTTCCCAGGCTGGTCTTGAATTCCTGGCTCAAGTGATCCACCTGCCTCAGCCTTCCAAAATGCTGGGATTACAGGCGTGAATCACCACACACTGCCACAAAGATGATTTTAATGAACTTTCTTGACCCTCAGCACTTTAAAAATTCTGAATAAAGATTGAGTACAAAATGGAAAAAGTAAAAAAGATGAAAATTCAGACCTAGAGTTAGTTGAATATTTGAAGACATACACACAATACACAAAATTGCATGCTAAATTATAGTTTACAAATGATTTTACAACAACACTGTGAACTGGAAAATGTTTTTGTAACTGCCCAAGATCACAGTTAGGTTGTGGCAGAGGTGGAATTTATATTTAGGTTTCCTGGTTATAGTACATTTTTCATTATACCACAGTTTTATTTCTTTTTCTTTTTCTCTTTGAGACAGGATCTTGCTTTGTTGCCCAGGCTGGAGCGTGGTGGTGCGATCATAGCTCACTGCAACCTCTGCCTCCTAGTCTCAAGCAATCCTCCCACTTCAGCCTCTCGAGAAAGTGGGACTACAGGCATGTGCCACCACATCTGGCTAAGTTTTTGTATTTTTTTTTTTTTTGTAAAGACACGATTTTGCCATGTTACCCAGGCTGGTCTTGAACTCCTGGACTCAAGCGATTCACCTGCCTCGGCCTCCCAAAGTGCCAAAGTGCTGGGATTACAGGCATGAGCCACCACGCCTGGCCTCACCGTTTTATTCCTTGAAGAAAAGTTATTTTATTATTTGAGGAGAAAAACATGTTAAGAACATGGACTTTGGAAAAATGGTTTGAATCCTAGATGATCTTCTAAAAGAAGATTGTGTCATTTTATATAGAAATTCTCCCATATTTTTCAGTGTATCTGACTCATAATGATCTGGTAATAAATGTCTTCAACTTGTTTATCACAACTATACATTGTAGTTTGACAGAAGTTTTGTAACTTAGCACAAGATATGCTCTGAGGAATTCTAGGTCCTTTTTATATATTTTATTTAAAAATTCTGTCATTTTTTAGTACAAAATTGAATATGTACATCCTTCTCCTAGATGTTATTTTATTTAGACTTTCTGTGTAATATAGAATCAATTGACTGACCCTCCTTCCCTCCCTCCCTCCCTTCCTTCCTCCCTTTCTTTCCCTTTCCCTTTCCTCTCTTTCTTTCTTTTCTTCTTTTCTTCTTCTCTTCTTTTTTTGTTTCTTTTTTGAGACAGGATCTTGCTCTTTCATCCAGGCTGGAATTCAGTGGGGTGATCCTGGTTCCCTGCAGCCTTGACCTCCTGTGCTCAAACGATCCTCCCAGCTCAGCCTCCCAAGTATCTGGGACCACAGGCACATACTACCACGCCAGGCTAATTTTTAAATTATTTGTAGAGACAGGATCTTCCATTGTTGCCCAGGCTGGTCTCAAACTCCTGGGCTCAAGCGATCCTCCTGCCTCAGCTTCCCAAAGTGCTTGGATTATAGGCATGAGCCAATGCACCTGGGCAAAAATTTAATATATGTGGTCAATTATCAGTTGTTAAGGTTATGCATCTATTAATCTCTTAAAATACTTGTTTAAAAGGCCCAGTTTTGGTGCCCTTTATTTATATATGGTTTTGGTTTTAGGTTGGCTTTGATATGAGTAAAGAAGCTGCAAGAAAATGCTATGAGAAATCTGGCCTGACACCAAATGATATTGACGTAATAGAACTTCACGATTGCTTTTCTACCAACGAACTCCTTACTTATGAAGCACTGGGACTCTGTCCAGAAGGTAACATCTTTGAATAGGGCAGATTAATTCAGTAAATTTCACTGAGAAAACTTCACTTTGACCGTTAGATAAAAGAATTCACTATTCACTTTTCCCTTAACGTTGGCTCTGCCACACTGTGGGAAATGAATGTAAGCTGTTTTGGTAGTGGACGTTTTAGAACTTGTGGTATTAGGCAGTACCAACACTAAGATGATGGAGTGTCCAGATAATTTGTATTATGATTATATTATTTGTCTGGAAGGCTCTTTTATCTGACCAAAATAGCTACTCCATCTTTCTTATGCTTATTCTTTGCATGAGATTTTATTCATTTGCTTTCAACCTATTTATGTTAATTTATTTAAAGTGTATCTCTTATAGGCAGCATGTAAGCAATAATTTTTTTTTGTTTTTTCGTTTTTCTGAGACGGAGACTCTCTCTGTAGCCCAGGCTGGAGTGCAGTGGTGCAATCTCAGCTCAATGCAACCTCCACCTCCTGGGTTCAAGTGATTCTCCTGCCTCAGCCTCCTGTGTAGCCGGGATTACAGGCACCTGCCAACACGCCCGGCTAATTTTTGTATTTTTAGTAGAGACAGGGTTTCACCATGTTGGCCAGGCTCATCTCAAACTCCTGACCTCAGGTGATCCACCCACCTAGGCTTCCTAAAGTGCTGGAATTATAGGCGTGAGCCACTGCGCCCAGCCGTGATAATGTATTTTTTAAAATCTACTTTGTTGATTTCTGCCTTTTAACTGGAGTGTCGAAACCTGTGCTGATAATGACAGCCACTAGCTATACTTTAGTCTTTGAAATGTAGCTAGTCCAAATTGACGTGTGCTGTAAGTGTGAAGTACACATGGAGTTTTGGAGACTTAATATTGAAAAATAGAATGTAAAGTATTTCATTAATAATTTTTTTTTTTTTTTGAGACAGAGTCTCGCTTTGTCACCCAGGCTGGAGTGCAATGGTGTGATCTCGGCTCATTGCAACTTCTGCCTCCTGGGTTCAAGCAGTTCTTGTGCCTCAGCCTCCCGAGTATTACAGGTGTGCATGCTACCATGCCCAGCTAATTTTTGTAATTTTAGTAGAGACAGGGTTTCACCATGTTGCGCGGGCTGTTCTCAAACTCCTGGCTTCAAGTGATCCACCCGCCTCAGCCTCCCAAAGTGCTGGGGTTGCAAGCATGAGCCACCTGGCTCACTGATAATTTTTTTATGTTGATTACATGTTGAATGAAAATATTTTATATATATATAAAATGTATATATTAAATAAAATATATACTAGAAAATTTAAAAGTATTGTGTGGGCATTATATTTCTGTTAGACAATATTTATTTAGATAATTAATGTAATTATTGATACAGTAGGATTTAGGTTGGTCATTTAATTATCTGTTTTCTATTTGTCCCCTGTAATTTTTGTTCCTCTGTGCCCCTCCTCTTGACTTCTTTTGCATTATTTAAATATTTTTAGTATGCCATTTCAACTTATCGATTGTTTTTTTCACCATATCTCTTTGTTTTTTCTTCTTTGTTTATCCCAGTGGTTGCTATAGAGCATGGTTTATCAACCTTGGCACTATTGACATTTGAGCTCTATCATTCTTGTGATACAGCTTGTGCATGGTAGGATATTCAGCAATATCCCTGCCTCTTACCTACTAAATGCCAGTAGCACCACCCCCCACAGTTGTAACAACCATAAAATGTCTTCAAATATTGTCAAATGTCTTCTGGGGGGTAAAATCTCTCCCAGTTGGCAGGGCGCGGTGGCTCAGGCCTATAATCCCAGCACTTTGGGAGGCCAAGGCGGGCAGATAACGAGGTCAGGAGATCGAGACCATCCTGGCTAACACGGTGAAACCCCCTCTCTACTAAAAATACAAAAAATTAGCCGGGCATGGTGTTGGGCACCTGTAGTCCCAACTACTTGGGAGGCTGAGGCAGGAGAATGGCGTGAACCTGGGAGGCGGAGCTTGCAGGGAGCTGATATCATACCACTGCACTCCAGCCTGGGTGACAGAGCGAGACTCCATCTCAAAAAAACAAAAAAACAAAAAACTCTTCCAGTTGAGAACCACTGCGATAAGAATTATAGTATGCCTCCTTAAGCGTCTCCTTTGAGTTAATATTGTACCACTTCACATAAAATGTAGAAGCCTTGCAACCATATAGGTCCATTCACTGACTCCCCTTTGCCGTACACTGTCCCTTATGTTATAATTGTCATATGTGTTATATCTATTTACATTGAAAACCCCAATATATAATATTATAAGTTTTGCTTTCAACAGTCATACACTTAGATGTCTGTTATATGTCATGGGTAAAAATGTCACACATAATTTTAAAGATACTAAGAGGGAAAAAGTATTTTATACTTATCCAGATATTTATCATTTTTTGTTGCTCTTCATTCTTGAACACCCAAGTTTTTCTCTGTAATCATTTTCTTTAGCCTAAGGAACTTTTTGTAGCATTTTTTATAAAGCAGATCTTTTGGAGATGAATTCTCTTAGTTTTCCTTCAACTGAAAATGTCTTTGCTTAACCTTAATTCCTAAAGGAACTCTGGGCTGATTATAGAATTCTAGGTTGACAGGTCTTTTAGCACTTAAAACATGTTGTTTCAGTCTTCTGACCGCCATAGTTTCTAACGAGGAGTCATGGTCATTCAAATTGTTGTTTCTCTGTATGTGATGGGCCATTTTTCTCTAGCTATTCTCAAGATTTTTAGCAGTTTGATTGTGTAATGTCTAGGCATGGTTTTCTTTTAATTTATTCTCTGTTGTGTTTTCTGAGTTTCTTAAGTCTGAAAATGCAAAACTTTTACCAAATTTGGCAAGTTTTCAGCCATTATTTCTTTAAATGTATGTTCTGTCCCAATTTTTTCCTCCTCTTCTTCTGGACTTCCAATGATGCATATATTAGACCTTTGGATATTGTCCCATAGGTCCCTGAAACTGTTCACTTTGAATCCCCTTTTCTCTCTGTTCTTCACATTTGATAATTTATGTTGATATATCTTTAAATTCACTGACTCTTCCTTCATGTTCTTTCTACTCATGAACCATTCTAATGAGTTTTCTATTTCAAATATTGTATTTTCAGTTCTAAAATTTCCATTTGGTTCATTTTATAGTTTCTATTTCTCTGCTGAGAGCTTACATCTTTTTGTTCATTTCTAGTGGGCTTTCTTTACCTTGTAGTTCTAACAGCTGTTTTAAAGTCTTTAATAATTCCATAATCTGGGCTTTCTTGGGTTTTGCATCTGTTGATTGTCTTTTACCTTGAGAGTATTGGTTACATTTTCTGATTCTTTGTATAGCAAACAATTTTGGATTGTATCCTGGACAGGGTGAATGTCCTATTATATAGATCCTTTGGAGAATGTTGATGTTTTTGTTTTAGCAAGCATTTAAGCCAGTATGTTCTGACAATAAGTTCTGTCTTGCCTTCTGAGGGTGGTGGTTAAAGTCTTTGCTCAGCTCTCTAAATGTATGCCTACGTCAGAGTAAGCCTGAGACTTGTACAGGTCTATACACAGAATTAGGGGATCCTCTTCTCTGGCTCTCTCCACTATAGACTTCTTCCCTTACTCTCCAGCCTGCAGAGATTTCTTTTCCTAGTTCCTTTGGTTAGGAAGATGGGGTTTCTGTTAGAGTTTTAGCTACCTTTGCTGTTTCTGCTGCCATGCTGTTCCAGGGCTGTGCTCAACCTTGGGGCAAAGCTGTTGAGAGAGAGAGAGCCTAAAAAGAAAAAAAGACAACCAGGACCTCACCCTTATGCAGTGGCTTCTCCAAGTTTTGACTTGCTCTATAATCCCCCTGCTTTTATTTACTTTTCAGAGTCCTCAGGCAGTTTTTTTTATTTTTATTTTTATATCCAGTGTTTTCAGTTGTAATCAATGCAAGAGATAAACTGTAGTGAACATATTCTGCCTAATATGGAACTTAATCTAAAAGTTAAATATTTTATGTAGATACAGATATAAAATGATTACTTTCTTTTTTTTTTTTTTCTTTGAGATGGAGTTTCTCTCTTGTTGCCCAGGCTGGAGTGCAGTGGCGCTATCTCAGCTCACCACAACCTCCGCTACCTGGGTTCAAGTGATTCTCCTGCCTCAGCCTCCCGAGTAGCTGGGATTGCAGGCATGCGCCACCATGCCCAGCTAATTTTGTATTTTTAGTAGAGACGGGGTTTCACCATGTTGGCCAGGCTGGTCTCGAACTCCTGACCTCAGGTGATCTGCCCGCCTTGGCCTCCCAAAGTGCTGGGATTATAGGTGTGAGCCACCACACCCAGCTTTTCTTCTTTTTTTTTTTTTCCGAGACAGTTTTGCTCTTGCTGCCCAGGCTGGAGTACAATGGTGAGATCTCAGCTCACTGCAACCTCCCCTTCTCAGGTTCAGGCGATTCTCCTGCCTCAGCCTCCCGAGTAGCTGGGATTACAGGGGTACACCACCACGCCCGGCTAATTTTTGCATATTTTTTAGTAGAGACGGGATTTCACCATGTTGGTCAGGCTGGTCTCGAACTCCTGACCTCAGGTGATCCACCCACCCCAGCCTCCCAAAGTGCTGGGATTACAGGTGTGAGCCACCAGGCCTGGCCAAAATGATTACTTTCAAACTTATACTCCTTGCTTGAACTGCTTCTCCAACCTCTAGACTCAAGAATCCAGCTGCCTACTTTTTAGGGGTTTCTTTGGATGTCTCATAAGCATCTCAAACCTAAGTCCAAAATTGAGCTATGGATATTTTTCAAACTTTCTCCTCCCTCAGTCTTCCCCATCCTCCTGTTGCTTAAACTGGAAACCATCAGGCTTGAATTCTTTTCTCTCTCTCACAATCATCATTAAATCTATCTCTAAGTCCTGTTGGCTATGGACTCTACCTTCAAAATAAATCCAGAATATGACCACATCTCACCACTTTTGTCACTGCCAGCCTAGTGCAGAACAGCATCGTTTCTCATTTATATTATTGTTGGAGTCTTATGGCTGGTCCCGTGCTTCTGCCTTGTCTCTCCAGACTGAAGCTAGAATGTGCAGCAAATCAGTTCATTAATTCATTCAAAACCCAGTAGTTTCTCAACTCACTCAGACGAACAAGCCAAATATGATCTGTCCTCCTTACTCCCCACTCCCATCTCTGACTTCCTCTGCTTTTCTCTGAATCTTCTACTCTGCTGCAGCCACATTGGCTTCCTTCTTCAAGCACTGGAAGCTCGCTCCTGTTTCAGGGCCTTTGTTCCAAACATACATGATTTGCTCTCTCACTCCCTTCAGGTCTTTGACTAATGTCCTTCTCAGTGGAAGCCTTCTCCGATCACTTTGTTTGAAATATAAACCACTCACCTCCATCTTCCTTGTCTCAATGTGTCCTATACCCTTTCCCTGCTTTCTTTTTTCCCTTGGCATTTATCACCACTTTACATATTTCTTTACTTATTTTATATATTGTCTGTCTTTTCCTCACCCCTCTCCCCACATAACTTAAACTCCATGATAGTAGGGATTTTCGTTTGGTTCACTATTGTATCCATAAGTTCCTAGTTTAGTTTTTGGTACAGAACAGGTATAATAATTGTTTTCCAAAAGCGTATGCATTTGTTTTCCTATCTATGCTAGGGGAGAGCGTTCATTTACAGTACTTTAATCTCTGAATATTTTTAGTTGATGAGTTCAAGATAACTTCCCTTTGGAATCTTTTAATACTTTACAAGATTGTATATATTATAGGAAAAGTGTAGTGAATTATTCACTTTTAGGGGTTAGCTTGTGTTTAGTTTGCTATTACTTGCTACAGAAACAATATTTAGCAGTTTGTAAGTAGCAATAGTAGATAGATTTATCTCTTATGACTAGAGCCTCAGAGCAATTTCCAAGGTAGAAACATACCAAAAAATAAAAGAGAGAATGCCTTAGCCAATGGTTTTATCTATAACCTAGATTTAAAGCCAAATTAGAAGTGTCAGTCATCTAAAATCCTGTGATTAGTGTATTTCATTTTACCAACAGAGGAACTTTTGTTTTTGAAGGCAATATAATATATTAGCTGAGAACACAGGCTGTGGAGCCAGGCTCCCTGAGTATTAATCCTAGATCTCTTGCTGTTGCCTTGGTTGATTTCTTAATATCTCTGTCTGTTTTCTCATCTAGGAAATGAGAATGATAGCACCTACTTCATAGGATTGAATATTAAATTTTATAAATAGTCATCACTCAGTATCTGTGGGGTTTTTTTTCTAAGACCTCCCACAGATACCAAAATCCATGGAAGCTGCTTATATAAAATGGCATAATTTTTGCATATAACCTATGCACACCCTCCTGTATATTTTAAATAATCTCTAGATTACGTATAATAACTACATATCACTTCATTCACATGGATTCAATGTAGTACTCAGCACATACAAATTGAAGTTTTGCTTTTTGTAATTTTTTTCTTCTGTATATATATATATATATATATTTTTTTTTTTTTTTTTTTGAGACAGAGTTTTGCTCTTGTCGCCCAGGGGTGCACCACCATGCCTGGCTAATTTTTGTATTTTTAGTAGAGATGGGGTTTCACCATGTTGGCCAGGCTGGTCTCGAACTCCTGACCTCAGGTGATCTACCTGCCTCGGCCTCCCAAAGTTCTGGGATTACAGGCATCAGCCATGGTGCCCTGCCTCTTCTGAATATTTTTGATTTGTGGATGGTTGAATCCATGATGTGGAACCCATGGATGCTGACTATATATACAGAAAATAATTAGAACAAGAGCTGACCCAGAGTGAGTGCTCAAAGCTATTAGCTACCTTTGACAGCATTGCCACCATCATTACTATCATTATTTGGAGCGTCCACATCTTATTACTTTATCGTAAATAGATGTGGAAGACAATTTTATACAATACATCCATTTTTATTTACTTCTTAAGCATCTGGAAGAATGACCAAATGACCAGGAAATTGACAGGAACATTGAAGCCACCAAGCATGTGAAGTAATTTTTTCTTTAACCTTACTTTTGTGGCTCAACAGTGTTTTCAGACATTTCTCTTCATTTTATGAAAGTGCCTTTTTTCTCCTGTTTTTCCATATTTATTAAAAATACTTATATAGTATATAGCAGTACAGATGAAAATAGAAAAGAACACATTTTGGCAAAATTATGCATTTTTAAAGCTGACAGTTATTTTAGTTATAGCATTATATCCATTTCAGTTCTATTCTCCTAGTTCTCTGAATCTCTACCATATTTAGAGCAATTTTGGAAGTCAGAGAGCTCTAAGGAACTAATAGGAGCTTTTGTTTCATACAGGAAATGTTCTGAAAATGTAAGTATTTATTACTTTTAAAAGTGCTTATGTCAAATTATTGTTAGTTTGAACTGTTAAGAAATATTTGCTCCAAGAAATTCTTGGCTATATGGAAATCTTATAAAAGCATATCATTTGTTCTATTGTTACTATTAATATTTGTGAATACTATTTTTTCTTCTATAGGACAAGGTGCAACGCTGGTTGATAGAGGAGATAATACATATGGAGGAAAGTGGGTCATAAATCCTAGTGGTGGACTGATTTCAAAGGGACACCCACTAGGCGCTACAGGTAATGCTACATACAGATTTCATACATTTTAAAATCATTTTTTCCTTAAGTGTGAATGAGTTAGTCTTTCATTTGAATGAAAGATTATATTCTCTGAACTTGGTAGCTGGTGCTTTAAATGATTGTTTAGCTTCAATATTTTTGATGTTCCATTAAGTAGAGCACACTTAAATAATCTTCATTAATTGATGAGAATTTGAATTAATTAAAACTAAATTCAGGATGTTTCCAAATAGAGATCTTACTAGACCTGCTAAATAAGAATCATTTGAAATGAGCATGTTATTTATATGTAGTTGTATACATGGTTGACATTGCATGGAAATTATTTTCTCTTGAGACAACTGGACTAGAATTTATAAAGTAAGAATTTTACTATGGCTCTGCTGTTGACTGGCTGGCCGTGTGAAACTATTTTTATCAGTCAATCACTTTAACTTTTAATTCCTTAATTATAAAATGACAAACTTGTACAATGTGGTTTCTGTTTTTTTAAATAAAAAATTAAGCCCAAACCTCACCATGCAATTCCTTTTTTCTTTCTTTCTTTTCTTTTTTTTTTTTTTTGAGATGGAGTCTCGCTCTGTTGCCCAGGCTGGAAAGAAGTGGCACAATTTCGGCTCATTGCAGCCCCTGCCTCCCGGGTTCAAGCCATTCTCCTGCCTTAGCCTCCTGAGTAGCTGGGACTACAGGCTTGTGCCACCATGCCCAGCTAATTTTTGTATTTTTTTTTTTAGTAGAGATGGAGTTTCACCATGTTGGCCAGGCTGGTCTTGAACTCCTGACCTCAAGTGATCCACCTGCCTCAGCCTCCCAGAGTGCTGGGATTACCGGCATGGGCCACACACGGCCACAACATGCATTTTTAATATATCACAGTCTACCTTCAAATAGTGTTATGCCATTTTGTATATAACGTAAGATTTTTACAGCTGCCTATCTATTTACCTTCTCCTATCTTTTGTGTTATTGTTTCCATACACTTATTCCTAAGTATATTATAACCCTCACAATATACTATTATTATTGTTGCTTTAAACAATCTAATATCTTTCAAAGAAATCTAAGAATTATGGGGATGATCAGTGATGTTATGGGAAGTGGCAAAATAACAACATCCAAAAATCCTGTCCTTTATAAAAGTTCGGAGAACTCTGGCAAAAATTGTCAAGATCAACTTTTTCCATAACTTTAAAAATTAACCAGATTTACAACAATCTGTTGGGAGTGGAGGTGGGGGGTGCTTAAAACAACAACAAAGAACATAATCTCTGTGAGAGCAACGAGCTTTGTGGCATTTTCACCTGCCTTAACACCTCCCTCTTTCTGCAGCTCCACTGTAGCCTTGAAAACCTACAGCTTGCAGTCATGGTGAAAATTAGCAGCCTAGCTGGCACTGAGCAAGTCAGAACAGAGTTGGAGCTCTTTCAAAGCCCCTTCCTTAGAGAACTGTCATTATATGACCTGTCTGACAGTGTCCTGGTAAACCCCACTTGAAAGCTTTGTCTTTATTTCACCTCACTGAAAACTCACCCAGTGCAAAGAGTATTTTCCCTAGAGGCAATTGTCGAGAAAAATCAGCCACAACTGTTCAACAAAGTAGCTACCTCAGGTGCCAATTGGGGTAAACAACAAAATAACCAAAAAAAAGGAAAAGTTGGGGAGTAGGATGTCCATAGGGGGCTTTGAAAAGATCTGATATGTTCCTGAGAATCTAGAAGCCTAATGGCGTATATAAGGTCAGAGTTGTGTGCATGCTCAGGAAAGACCTGAGAAGGTCCTAAGCTCACCTCTGGCTAAACTTGGGGCTCTGCACAAGCAAAAGGCAAAGGCTAAGGTAGAATTGTAAACTGCCTGGCTGAGTACCACATTATGCAGGTAGAGGTCCAGTAAAGACCAGGAGACTTTTTAGTTCAGTCATTTAAGGACATCTCTGTCCAGTCAGTAGCTGAGGGAAGAGAAAATTCAGTGGCCATGTGGGACAAAGATTACAGACTTTATAGAATTAGCTTGGAAAAGTCACTAAATAAACAACCACAACAATAAACAGCAACAACAACAACAACAAACTGGGAAAGAGGAGGATTTGATTTTTAGAGAAGCTACATTATTTAAAATGTCCAGTTTTCAACAAAAAAAAAGAAAGACATGCAGATAAACAATAAAGGGTGACCTATGTACCTAGGAAAAAAAGCAGTCAATAGAGACTATCCCTGAGGAAGCCAAAACATTGGACTTACTAGACAAAGACTTTAACTAGCTATTTTAAATATATTAAAGGAAACCATATATAAAGAACTAAAGGAAAGTATGAGAACAATGTTTCTCCAGGTAGAGAATATTAATAAATAGAAATTATAAAAAAGACAACCAGGCACGGTGGGTCAGGAGATCAAGACCATCCTGGCTAACGCAGTGAAACACCGTCTCTACTAAAAATACAAAAAGTTAGCCAGGCGTGGTGGCGGGCGCCTGCAGTCCCAGCTACTTGGGAGGCTGAGGCAGGAGAATGGCGTGAACCCGGGAGGCGGAGCCTGCAGTGAGCCGAGATCATGCCACTGCACTCCAGCCTGGACGACAGAGTGAGACTCCGTCTCAAAAAAAAAAAAAAAAAAAAAAAAAAATTAAAGGTATAGGTGGAGAAGAAGAACCATTTAAGAATAATGAGAGGGAATGCTCAGTTAGCCAAGGAAGGAGAGTGTTTCAAAAGTAAGAGATTAGGCCACAAAAGTTAGATAGATAAAGAATGAAAAGTGTCCTTCAGATTTGGCTGTTACAAAGTCGTTGGCAATCTTGGAGCAATTTTGAAGAAGTGTTTTGCATGGAAGCAGATGAGATTCAGAAAGAATTATAAGTGAGAAAGTGGCAATAATAGTGCAGGTACACTTTTAGAAATAGTGGCTATGAATGGAAAGTGATATATATGTAAGGGATGTACCTGAATTATAGGTACGTGTTCTGTATGAATGAAGTCTTGGGTTTGAACCTAGCCTCTTCACTCTCTTTAGTATGTAGCTTAGCCAGTTAATCCTAGTTTCTTATCTATAAAATGGGAATATAGTACCTACCTTATAAGGCTGTTCTGTGGATTAAGTGAGGAAATATATGTATGTAAAGTATATAGTAGAGTCCCCCAAAAAGAGTAGGAACACAATAACTTCCAGAATTCCCTTCCCAACTACAAAAGGGAGCCATGATGGATCTGCTTAACTGGTTCTTGTTTGTTTGTTTGCCAGTAATAAACCTCTTGTTTTTTTTTTCTTTTTTCTTTTTTTTTTCCTTGAAACGGAGTCTTGCTTTGTCGCCCAGGCTGGAGCGCAGTAGCGCGATCTTGGCTCACTGCAACCTCCGCCTCCCAGGTTCAAGCGATTCTTCTGCCTCAGCCTCCCAAGTAGCCGGGATTATGGGCATGTGCCACCACGCCCAGCTAATTTTTGTATTTTTAGTGGAGACAGGGTTTCACCAGGTTGGTCAGGCTGGTCTTGAACTCCTGACCTTGTGATCTGCCTGCCTCGGCCTCCCAAAGTGCTGGGATTACAGGCATGAACCACCACGCCCAGCCCAAACCTCTTGTTTTTATCACAGTATGAAAAATAATTTTTAACCATTTTTGGAAAAGAATGTTCTTTAATTTGGTTTTTTTTTTTGTGATAACAGATCAATTTTAATTCTAGTACCTGAAGCTATACAAGGGTATGCTCTATAAACTTCATGGGACTGTTGTACACACTTGATAAAGTGACAACCGTGCAATACCACTTAGCATCTCAAAATCAGGAACATACTATTGAATTGCTTAAATACAATCCACAGAATTAAAAACAAAATCAGATGCCATCCACAGTTATACTAATTATCCATTAAAAGCTTACACTTAATACTTGAAATAACAATCAATATCTAGCAGGGAATACTGAAAGTGATTTCAGAGTCTCATCCTGTTGTACTCTGTTGGGAAGGTTTCTTGAGTAGATGTGTGACTGGCCAAAGATGGGTACAACCAAGACCAGACCAGCAAGTAAAAGTTCTACCACAGTTTCTGTAGTTTCCACTTGTTTTTCTTTGTCAGTTAAAAGTGAACAGTGAGAATTAAATACTTATCTTTACATATACACAAGGTATGCTATGAAAGCGTATCTGCTTACAAACATATAAAAATATTTGTTAACTAGTTTGATAAGAAAATAATGTATAAAAGTATATAGCAAAAACATTAATCATCTCTGACCCCAGAAAGATCAATTCCATATTTTATATTACAAACAAAAACAGTTTTAGTTTTTTGAATCCCTTACCCAGAAATACTTGAAAAGGAAGACAGACAGAAATTATTCCTTTTTACCCTTAGCGTGGCTGTGAAAAAGAGTTAAATTAAAAAACCAAGTACACTCAAATATCTAAGTCCTAAATGAGTCCAAATATTTGACCACGTAGAATATTACCATCTTCAAGAGTAGGAGCAGTAACACAGGCTTTTATGAGCAGTTTTTAATCCATAAATACAATAGGCATTTGGTATTTTGGCCACCAGAAAACAAAAGTTGTAGTATAAGTAAAGGTCTGAGATGGTTCACTTTTGTAGATTCAATTCAGTGTATTTAAGGTTAACAAAGGCTGACATTGAAATGTTTAAAGATAGGCAAAAATTCACATTAAAAAAACCCTATATTTCTATTTAGAGTAACAGTAGGCAGTGTGATTCCAAAAGTTAAAAATTATTTCACAACCTGTAGCTTCAGCTTGGCAAACAGCTTAGATTCCAAAACTGATTCATCTCTATTAAAATGTAAGCACTTAAAAAAAGAGCATGTCTGTGTATATAGACATATATTTTAAAGGAATCAGATAATCTTTGAAGCAGCCTTAGTGTTTCCTTTAAGTTTGTCTGGAAATGACCATTGTATTAGCTTCACAGAAAGGACTAGCCAGCTTCTTGGTCTAAGGCTAACATGGTGATCATTTGTCTAAGGCTAGAAAGGTACCAACAAGATGTAAACTGAGGAGAGGAAGAGAAGATGAGGGCTTTTCCTGGCAGTTGGTAGCTAAAACTGAAGGGATTCTAGAAAATGACACAATGGCAGCCTTTCTTGTCTTTTTCTTTCCGTGTTGGTTCTGGTGAAGGAGGACATTCCTGCTCTTGAAATTTCCTGATAACCCGGACAAGTTCATGGAAAGCTTGATCTACATTCATCCTAATCTTTGCTGATGCCTCCATGTATGTTACCTTAAGTTGCCGTGCTAACTGCCGTCCTTCTTCCTGTGTTACCTGTCTTTGATGATCCAGATCTGCTTTATTACCAATTAAAATCATTGGGAACTCATCACGATCCTTTACTCTGAGAATCTGTCTTTGAAACTTATAGATTTCTTCAAAACTGCCTCTATCTGTGACTGAAAAGACCAACAGGAAGCCCTCGCCAGTCCTCATATACTGTTCTCTCATGGCTCCAAGCTCTTCTTGTCCTGCTGTATCCAAAATATCTAGCCGGGCTGCTCTGTCATCTATCACACACTGCTTTGTGTAAGAATCTTCATTGGTTGGATCATAATCCGTTACAAAATAGGACTCCCAACTTAGGAAACAAAACATTTGTAATATGATTGAAGACTCCTGCATGCCTCCTCAATAATATTCCCCTCTCTCCTCCCCCAGCACCAAGAGGTAATCAATATCCTGAATTTGGTATCTGTCATTCTCATGCATTTATACAACATTAGTAATCATATGATAGTATTCCTAAGCTATGTTTTGGAGAGGACACCACTGCAAATCTTCAGCCCTATACTAGCTTTTATCGGTAGCCATCAATTGCAGTTTTAATAGAAATACAAATACATCAAGTGTCTGTTCTTTAATTTGTAAAGAAAATTTGTTTTCTAGCGTGACACCCTCAAGGTACCGTATCTGTATGTAAATGTTGTGCCCAATGCTACACAGACATTATTTTAAAACTATTTTCTGCCTTTGGTAAATAGACTAAACTGTTTTCTTTATTCCTCAAAAGAATTAGATCATACTTCAGTGTTGATTTTGTTGCTAATGGGACATGGAGATGTCTGGATGATAATAAATATTCCTGTGGTATGGTCACTGAAGCCTTTAAGAGTTATGCTGTAGTTTGTGTGTAAAGAAGTGACTTAAATCCTCCTTTCAGACAGCTTCCTTACGCATATAGGAAACCTCTGTTTCATTAGGAGATGAATATGATATTTCATTTTAGTTGTTCTTGTTGACATACAACTTTTTTCTCTTCTGAAATAGCATGTTTTTATTATAATTTGCTTGATTGCCATTATTAGATATTTTTGTCATGCCATCCACTGAAATACTCAGAAATCATGCTTTATAGTAACAATATAATTTTTCATATCTATATTTGTTATTAAAATTTAGATCTAATTTTTATACAATAAAATGCACAGTTCTGCCTCTCAGAACCTTCCTGCTGCCACATTTGCACCTTGCTGCTCTAGCCTCTGGGGTGCATTCCATCCTTTCAGCCTGCAACTAGCAGAGAAAAAAAGTTACATATTTTCTTGCCCCATGCATACCTTGAGGCGAGCAAAAAAATTAAAATAAATTTTAACCATGAGGGAAATCGTGCACATCCAGGCCTGTCAGTGTGGCAACCGGATGGGTGCCAAGTGCTGGGATGTGATCAGTGATGAACGTGAAATCGACCCCACCAGCACCTAACATGGGGACAGCGACCTGCAGCTGGACTGTGTCTCCATGTACTACAGTGAAGCCATAGATGGCAAATATGTTCCTTGTGCTAACCTGGTGGATCTAGAACCTGGGACCATGGACTCTGCTAGCTCAGGCCCTTTTGGCCAGGTGCTTAAACCAGACAACTTTGTTTTTGGTCAATCTGGGGCAGGCAACAACTGGGCCAAAGGCCACTACATAGAGGGGGCCAAGCTGGTTGATTCAGTTGTAGATGTGGTGCAGGAGGAGTAAGAGAGCTGTGACTGCCTGCAGGGCTTGCAGCTGACCCACTCAATGGGCTCTGGAATGGGTACTCTCTTTATCAGCAAGATCCGAGAAGAGTGCCCTGATTGCATCATGAACACCCTCAGTGTGGTGCCTCCACCCAAAGTGTCTGACACCGTGGTCGAGCCCTACAACATCACCCTCTCCATCCATCAGTCGGTAGAGAACACTGATGAGACCTACTGCATTGACAATGAGGCCCTCTATGACATCTGCTCCCGCACTTTGAAGCTGACCACACCAAACTATGGGGACTTGAACCACCTTGTCTCAGCCACCACAAGCAGTGTTACCACCTGTCTCCACTTCCCTGGCCAGCTCAATGCTGACCTCCGCAAGTTGGCAGTCAAACTGGTGCCCTTACCACATCTCCACTACTTCATGGCTGGCTTTGCCCTCTCACCAGCTGTGGAAGCTAGCAGCATCGAGCTTTCACAGTGCCCAAACTCATCAGGTAGGATTTCAATGCCAAGAACATAATGAGACCCCTGCCACAGCTTATATCTCACCGTGGCTGCTGTCTTTGTGGATGGATGTCCATGAGCAGTTGCTCAACGTGCAGAACCAGAACAGCAGCTACTTTGTGGAGTGGATCCCCAACAACATCAAGACAGCTGTCTGTGACATCCCACCTCATGGCTTCAAGATGGCGGTCACCTTAATCGGCAGCAGCACGGCCATCCAGGAGCTCTTCAGGTGCATCTTGGAGCAGTTCACTGCCATGTTCCCCTGGAAGGCCTTCCTCCACTGGTACACAGCTGAGGGCATGGATGAGACGAGAGTTCAACAAGGCTGAGAGCAACATGAACGACCTCGTCTCTGAGTATCAGCAGTACCAGGATGCCACCACAGAAGAGGAGGAGGATTTTGGTGAGGAGGCTGAAGAGGAGGCCTAAGGCAGAGCCCCCATCGCCTCAGGCTTCTCAGTTCCCTTAGCCATCTTACTCACCTGCCCCTTTTCTCTACCTCAGAATTTGTGTTTGCTGCCTGAAACACAAATCTAGATCTAGAACAGTGCTTAGCACGTAGTAGGCACTCAATAAGTATTTGTCTGTTGAATGTTTCCTTTCTCTTTCCACTCTGGGAAGCCTAGGTTTCTGCCACTCTGGGTGACCCTGTATTTCCTTCTGGTGCCCATCCCTTCCATCTGTCCAGTTAATATTTCCTCCTTTTTAAAATCTCCAAGAAGCTGGGTCTCATCCAGATCTCATTTAGAACCAACTGGGTTTTGAAAGCCCATGTGGATAATGGCCACCATCCTAAGCCCAAAGCGAAAGATGGTAGAAGGTGGCAGGTAGAAGTCACTGCAAGGAAGGGGATGGGATTTTCCATCCTAAAAGTTTTGGAGAGGGAAATCCAGGCTATTAAAGTCATAATTTCCAGGTATTTCTATTTTCCATTTCTCAGCTTCAAGAGAGGTGTTAGCAGTATTTTCTCCATTTTCAGTCTCCCTCCAAGCTCTGCCCTTTGGAGAGGTCTGCCCCACTCTGTCAAGTGGAATCTTTCCCTCTCTGGCTCTACCTCTCTCATATATTGAATTCCTCCCTTTCCCCTGATTAGAGAAGGGGATCAAGGGGGGAAAGAGATCAGCCTTGGTCCCTAGGCCTCCAGAAATGCCCTCCTAATCTCCACCTTTTCTTAACCCCCAAAAAGGATTAACATCCCTGACTTTATGTGGGATAGTATATACTGCCACATCAGTGTTTGAGTCATTCCCCAGAGGGAAGGGGAACCCTCCTCCATCTTTTTTGCAACATCTCCTATCTTCCTTTTGCTGTTGCTTTTTTCCCACTTACACTTGGTTTTGTTCTATCCTACACTACAGATTTCTATTTTGAACTTGCTGCCTTTTTTCATATTGAAAATGTGACATTGCTCCAAGAGCCAAAAATAAATGTGAATTGGAAAAAAAAATGCACAGTTCTCACAAAAATGTGTACACTGATGTTTACAGCAGCATTATTCATAATAGTCAAAAGCTGGAAACAAGCCAGATGTCTATCATCAACTGATGAGCAAAATGTGGTATATTTATTTTTATTTTTTTAGATTTTTTTCCAGACAGTCTCACTCTGTCCCCGAGGTTAGAGTGCAGTGATGCGATCTTGGCTCATTGCAACTTCTGCCTCCCTGGTTCAAGTGATTCTCCTGCCTCAGCCTCCTGAGTATGTGGGATTACAGGCACCTGCCACCATGCCCAGCTAATTTTTGTATTTTTAGTAGAGACAGGGTTTCATTATGTTGGCCAGGCTGGTCTCAAACTCCTGACCTCAAATGATCCACCCTCCTCGGCCTTCCAGATGTGAGCCACTGTGTCCGGCCAAAATGTGGTATATTTATACTATGGAATATTTTTTGGCCATGAAAGGAATGAGGTACCGAAATATGCTACAATATAGATGAACCTTGAAAACATTTTTAAATTCCATTTTTATGACATGTCCAGAATAGGCAAATCCATAGAGACAGAAAATAGATTAGTGGTTGCTTAGGACTAGGGAACACAGGAGAGAGATAACTGAAGGGTATGTGTGGAGTTTCTTTTTGAGATGATGAAAATGTCCTAAAATTGATTGTGGTGCTAGTTGCACAACTCTGTGAATACACTAAAAACCACTGAATTATATACTTTAAATCGATAATTGTTTTTGAAAATTATATACATCCAGGTAGCAACCAGCCAAAACCAGATCAAAAACATTTTCATTACCCCCAAAAGTTCTAGCCTGTCTATTTCCAGTCAATCCTCTGGCCTCCCTGAAACATTTCTCTCTCACTCTCCACCACCACCAGGCTGAGATGTTTGACTTCTCTCGTGATAGATTAGTTTTGCTGATCCTAGAACTTCATATAAATGGAATCATACAGCACATGTATGTATTCTTTTGTGTTTGGCTTCTTTCACTCAGCAGATTATAAAATTAATACAAGTTTTTCTTTTTATCAGTAGTTCTTTTTTATTGCCAAGTAGTATTCTATTGTTGAAATATATCAGTTTGCTTATCCATTGTCCTGTGGATGGATATTTGAATTGTTTCCTGTTTAGGGCTGCATGAATAAAATTGCTATGAATGTTTGTATACAAGTCTATTTGGAGACATATATTTTTATTTATCTTGGGTTGATAACCTGGAGCAAAATTTCTGGGTCATAGGACAGATCTATATGAGTAACTGTCAAAAAGGCCAGGTGCAGTAGCTCACGCCTGTAATCCCAGCACTTTGGGAGGCTGAGGTGGGAGGATTGCTTGAAGCCAGGAATTTGAGACCGGCCTGGGCAGCAAAGCAAGACTTTGTCTCTACAAAATATTAAAAAATTAACTGGGAGCAATAGCATGCACCTGTAGTCTCAGCTACCCAAGAGGCCGAGGTAGGGGGATTGCTTGAGCCCAGGAGTTTGAGACCGGCCTGGGCAACATGGTGAAACCCCATCTCTACAAAAAATACAAAAATTAGTCAGGCGTGGTGGCGCACGTCTGTGGTCCCAGCTACCTGTGTCTGTCCATACTTTTGCAGGTATATCCATAGGATAAATTTCAAACAGTGGAATCATTGTGTCAAAGGGTAGTATACATTTAAAAATCAGTGCAGATTGCCAAATTTTCTTCAGAAAAGATTGTTATCGGCGTATATTTCCAACAGCAGAGTATGAGACTGCCTCTTTTCCTTCAGTCTTGTTAATATTGGATTTTTTCCTCAAATGTTAAAAATTTTGCCAGTCTTGACAGGTCATCTGTTTTTCTTCCCTGGGTACTGAACAGGTAACCTAAAACACCCCAGGAAGATAGAATTTACTCAATTTTTAAATATTCAAAGAGAGACTCGCATTCAAAGAGATACCTCAGGAAATCTGCAGTATCCTTTGATAACCCTTTCTAACATTTGAGTCTACACTGTTGGTAAATTTTTCCTTTTATCATTAATCTTTGAGATATTATGTCTAGTGATGGTATAGCATTTTTTGGGAAAAAAATTATGAATCTTGATGACTTGAGTGGTAGTCTGAATAGGGATGAGGAATTATTGAAAAGTAAATGTTTCCTTGCTACATATTGAGGATTTGGATATACTTCGAGGAAATCTGGCACATGGCCATTAGCTGTAATGTGCCCCAAGACAGAATTCAGACTTATTGAATTTATATCACAATGACAGTTATGAGTAGCTTAAACATTTTTTCTCTAGTTACTTGGATAACAAACTGCAATAGAATTCTAAGAGATTCAGAAAATGGTCAAGCGAAGTTCCAAAATATGTTAAGACTAGTGATGAGGGTGTAAGATTCTCTTCTGTAAATGGTGTTAATTTAATTGTAAGGCAGTGCTACTTTGGTTGGGAACTCAGTATTGGGGAATTAGCTTTAAAAATTAAAGCTTCATGATACTGGTTTCTGATTTTGTTTAGATCTGGATGAAAGTTTCTACCTGCCATAACAGTATCAATAGTAAAAGAAAATTGTAGTTTTCAGCATTTGAATTGAGTATTCTTTTGTTCATTGTTAGTTTAAAAACATTAATTCCTTTTAGATTTCCATTCAGGAAAATTACATTAAACTTGAACTTTTTTTGATTACTTTGCAGTGATCGTATGACAAAAAACACATTAGTGTTCAGGTAATAATGTCATATTTTATTCCAGTTTTCAAAGTGCTTTTACATATACTATCCAACACTTACTGAACACTTGTTTTTTTTTTTTTTTTTTTGAGACAGAGTCTTACTCTGTTGCCCAGGCTGGAGTACAGTGGCATGATCTCAGCTCATTGCAACCTCTGCCTCCCAGGTTCAAGTGATTCTTCTGCCTCAACCTCCGGAGTAGCTGGGATTACAGGGACCTGTCACCATGCCCGGCTAATTTTTGTATTTTTAGTAGAGCTGGGGTTTCACTATGTTGGCCAGGCTGGCCTCGAACTACTGACCTCAAGTGATCCACCTTCCAAAGTGCTGGGATTACAGGCGTGAGCTGTCACACCCGGCCTGGTCACTTGTTTTAAATGAATAAATGTTGGACATGGTGGCTCATGCCCATAATCCCAGCACTTTGTGAGGCCAAGGCAGGAGGATAGCTTGAAGCCAGGAGTTTGAGACCAGCCTGGGCAACAAAGCGAGACCCTAGTTTCTACCAAAAAAAAAAAAAAAAAAGAAAGAATAAGTAAAATTTGGCTTTAGTTTATTCTTAGCTATCTCTACTTTTTAAAAAATCCATATTAATGTCTGTAATCTACTGAAAGGACATGAAAGTGCCTTTGAGATAAAGCTCTTGACAAAGGATTATTGATTGCTTTGAAGCTAGAAGTGGGTTTTTTTAGTTTGGCCTTTTGTCGTAGTTCAGCCTGGCCTTTTAGGCCTTTTAGAAAGGCCTCTGTGCCTTTCCATAGGCTTCAACCTAGTGTTAGGTCCTGATCTTCTGTTATTCAGTCAACATCAGTTCAGTAGTGACTTATTGTGCACCCACCTCATCATTAGGTACTGTAGGGCTGTGAAATACGAGGTCTACTCATAGACCAATTCGGAGCCTCCTGAAGCTTTTAAAAGTATATGTTCTTGCCTGAGTGTGGTGGCTTATGCCTGTAATCCCAGCATTTTGGGAGGCTGAGGCGGGCAGATCGCTTGAGCTCAGGAGTTCGAGACCAACCTGGGCAAGATGGTGAAACCCTGTCTCTACAAAATGCAAAAATTAGCCGGGCCTGATGGTGCATACCTGTAGTCCCAGCTACTCGGGAGCCTGAGGTGGGAGGGTAGCTTGAGCCCAGTAGGCAGAGGTTGCAGTGAGCTGAGATCATGCCACTACACTCCAACCTGTGTGGTAGAGCCAGACTTTGTCTCCAAAAAAAGAAAAAAATTATATATATATATTACATATGTTCTCTCTCTCTATATGTATGTTCCTGTCCTACCCTTAGACATTTTCTTGGGTCTGGGTTGGTCCTAAACAATTTATATTTTTTTAAAGTTCCGCCAGAGCTTCTCATGCATAGCCAGATTTGAGGGCTAGGGTTAGGATATACAAGGTAACTACTAGTCTCAGGAAGTGTATAAGAGGCAGATAATACAAGAACACAAATACTTATATATTTAAATAAGTAATTATAATACAAGGCAGAATGTGCTGTAGAAGAAGTACAAAGCAGAAGTATGAAGAGGAGAAAAAGGGAAAGGAGGATGGCAGGGTCATGAAGATTTGCTAAATCCCATCACATGCCTGGTGTTTTGCCAGCATTTCTATCTACTTGAGTTTTGGGGAAGGAGATGCACAAAGAGGAAGCATGTTTAAACCAAACTGTTTGCTTTTACCAAACAGGTTTAATTCCTTCTTGCCTATACAAACTCTACCTTTGTTATTTTCTCAATAATAATACACTGTTCTAAGTATACTTCATGTACAAGTGCATTCAATTTTCATATCGATTTTTCTCTTTTACAAAAGAAGAAAATAGAGGCATGGAGAGTTTAAATGATTTGCATGAAGTCATCAAGCTAGAGAGTGGCAAAGCTAAGATTCAAACACAGGCTATGTATTCCTAGCGTCCAGGGTCTTAACCATTATACTGTTCTTCAGTGTCCTTTCCTCACTGGAAACGCCCATCTTCAAGTGCTCTCTCAAATGCTATCCACCTTATGAAGCTTTTCCTGTTTCACTGATTCTTTCCATAGATTGAATTAATCTTTCCCTTTTCTGAACTCCTATACTTTCTCAGTACTTTTCTTTTGACATTTATGCTCATAGTATATATTATCATTATTTATAGGCTTTAAAAAAATCTTCCCTATTTAGGCTGGGTGCGGTGGCTCATGCCTGTAATCCCAGCACTTTGGGAGGCCAAGATGGGTGGATCATGAGGTCAGGAGATCGAGACCATCCTGGCTAACATGGTGAAACCCCGTCTCTACTAAAAATTCAAAAAATTAGCTGGGTGTGGTGGCAGGCGCCTGTAGTCCCAGCTACTCAGGAGGCTGAGGCAGGAGAATGGCGTGAGCCTGGGAGGCGGCGGAGCTTGCAGTGAGCCGAGATCACGCCACTGCACTCCAGCCTGGGTGACAGAGTGAGACTCCGTCTCAAAAAAAAAAAAAACAAAGAAAGAAAAAAGAAAAAAATATCTTCCCTATTTAAGAGCCTATGAAGTCAGGATTCATATTTCATTTGTCTCTCTACCTTGAACAGTGTGCAATACATTGCATATTTAAAGGGATAGTTGAATATATTATTGCTCCTTTAACATCTAGAACGTGGCATGGAGCAAAGGGAATACATTTGTTTAATGTGGGAAGAATTAGGATCATTAGGAAGAATTCATTGGAAGTTATATTTTGGCCGGATACAAGAGAACTTTCTAACATGGCTTCTCAAAAATGGAATAGGTTGCCTCCTGAGAGCATGCATTTACCTGTCAGAGAGGCTGTGCACAAAAAATACATGTAACAACTTGATAGGAATGTTGTAAGGAGAATTTTGCCCATCTGTTGGGCCTTAGATTTGATGAATTCATAGATCCTTTTCAATTCTATTATAAGATGCTCTGATCTCCTGTGCGAAGTAATTATTTCTTTTTCTGCATTCACATAGTTCTTGATGTTTCTAATGACACGTATATTATTATTCTATCCTGTGATTTTTGTTTACATGTTTCAGTACTTTTAAAGGCATTATAAACTTCTTAGGTCTTAAGAATTTGGGTGAAAATGATGTGAGAAGAAGTGGAATTTTAACCAAGGGACCGAGCATTTTCAAATCAAACCATGGCTTATCTCGTCTACTCTGTAAGAGGTTGCCAAAATAAATCCTAGGACGATGACTGGTAAGGCCTAAATCCAATATAAACTCTTAAAAAGCCAGCAAGTCAGTAAGAGCTAATTAGCTTTTCACCAAAATTTCTTTTTTACCTTTCATCATATCCTCCAGGCCACCCATCCTTGTTTCCATTGCCCAGAGTTTTGCATTTTTACCACTGCAATGTGAGGAGAGGTAAATTTTATCATTAAACTCTATCTGTGCCAGGACAAATGGAGCCCAGGAGATGGTGTCTACTCTAGATACCTGTTGCTAGCTAGAGATAACTAGGAGAAAGCCCTGAATTTCTGTTTCTATTTCTTTTCTTTTTTTATTTTTGAAACCAGGATTTCGCTCTGTTGCTCTGGCTGGAGTGCAGTGGCATGATCATGGCTCATTGTAGCCTCGATTTCTTGGGCTCAAATGATTCTACTATCTCAGTCTCCCAAGTAGTTGGGACTGCAGGCACGCACCTTCATACCTGGCTAATTTTTTACATTTTTGGTAGAGACGGGCTTTCGCCATGTTGCTTAGGCTGGTCTCGAACTCCTGGGATAAAGCAATCTGCCCATGTTGGCTTTCCAAAGTGCTGAGATTATAGGCATGAGCCATCATGCCTTCTTTTTCTTTTTTTGAGATAGAGTCTTCCTCTGTTGCCCAGGCTGAAGTGCAGTGCAAACATGGTGCAAACATGCTTACTGCAGTCTCTACTTCCTGGGCTCAAGTGATCCTCCCGCCTCAGTCTCCCAAGTAGCTGGGACCACAGGTGCACACCATCATGCCCAGCTAATTTTATTTTATTTTTTCTTTTGTAGAGATGGGGTCTCCCTATGCTTCCCAGGCTGGTCTCAAACTCCTGGGCTCAAGTGGTCCTCTCTCCTTGGCCTCCCCAAAAGCTGGGATTACAGGCGTGAGTCACCACACCCAGCCCCTTTTTCTTTCTTCACAATTTCACGGATAGAAAATTCATTGTTACTGTAGATCTTAGCAACCTCAGCATGCCATTTTTTTCCCTTAAAGTTGGGAACTTCCACCTTTTCATTTAAAGGAAGCACTTGTATGCACATCTGAATCGCCACTTCACTCCTCTTGCGCTTTGGGGCCATCATTAAGTAAACTAAGGATGACTTGAACACGAGCAGTACCCATCACAGTACCCATCACAGTCATTCTAATAACAAAGATAGCTACTAACTGACTAACGGGTGGGTGGGATGTACCACTTGGATATGCTGGGCAAAGGGATGATTCACATCCCAGGTGGGGTGGAGCTGAATGGTGCGAGATTTTATCATGCTACTCAGAACAGCATGCAACTTAAAACTTATGAATTGTTTATTTCTGGCATTTTCTATTCAATAT
Organism: Homo sapiens; assembly: GCF_000001405.40. Lineage (NCBI taxonomy): Eukaryota > Metazoa > Chordata > Mammalia > Primates > Hominidae > Homo > Homo sapiens. The sequence continues at coordinate 53,004,259 of NC_000001.11, forward strand.
TTTTAGACTGTAATCGACTGAGGGTAACTGAAACTGTGGAAAGTGAAACCATGGATGTGAGGGCACTACTGTATTTTACTTTTTTTTGAAATATATTTTACATGTGATAGATAATTTTGTCAGGCCTCTGAGCCCAAGCTAAGCCATCATATCCCCTGTGACCTGCACGTATACATCCAGATGGCCTGAAGCAACTGAAGATCCACAAAAGAAGTGAAAATAGTCAGTTCCTGCCTTAACTGATGACATGCCACCATTGTGATCTGTTCCTGCCCCACTCTAACTGATCAATTGACTTTGTGACAATACATCCTCCCCACCCTTGCGATAATGTATTTTGTGATATTCACCGCCCTTGTGAATGTACTTTGTAGGGTATACCCTCCCTGCCTTTAAGAAGGTTCCAAGATGGCCAAATAGGAGCAGCTCCAGTCTACAGCTCCCAGCGTGAGTGACGCAGAAGATGGGTGATTTCTGCATTTCCAACTGAGGTACCAGGTTCATCTCACTGGGGCTTGTCGGACAGTGGGTGCAGTCCACGGAGTATGAGCTGAAGCAGGGCAGGGCATTGCCTCACCCGGGAAGTGCAAGAGGTTGGGGAATTCCCTTTCCTAGCCAAGGGAAGCCGTGACAGATGGTACCTGGAAAATTGGGACACTCCCACCCTAATACTGCGCTTTTCCAATGGTCTTAGCAAATGGCACACCAGGAGATTATATCCCATGCCTGGCTTGGAGGGTCCCACACCCATGGAGCCTCGCTTGCTGCTAGCACAGCAGTCTGAGATTAAACTGCAAGGTGACAGCGAGGCTTGGGGAGGGGCATCCGCCTTTGCTGAGGCTTGAGTAGGTAAACAAAGTGGCTGGGAAGCTTGAACTGGGTGGAGCCCATCGCAGCTCAACGAGGCCCGCCTGCCTCTGTAGACTCCACTTCTTGGGGCAGGGCATAGCTGAACAAAAGGCAGCAGAAACTTCTGCAGACTTAAACGTCCCTGTCTGACAGCTTTGAAGAGAGTAATGGTTCTCCCAGCATGGAGTTTGAGATCTGAGAATGAACAGATTGCCTTAAGTGGGTCCCTGACCCCCGAGTAGCCTAACTGGGAGACACCTCCCAGTAGGGGCTGACCAACACCTCATACAGCCGGGTGTCCCTCTGAGATGAAGCATCCAAGGGAAGGATCAGGCAGCAACATTTGCTGTTCTGCAATATTTGGTGTTCTGCAGTCTCCGCTGGTGATACCCAGGCAAACAGGGTCTGGAGTGGACCTCCAGCAAACTCCAACAGACCTGCAGCTGAGGGTCCTGACTGTTAGAAGGAAAATTAACAAACAGAAAGGACATTCACACCAAAACCCCATCTGTACGTCACCATCATCAAAGACCAAAGGTAGATAAATCCACAAAGATGAGGAGAAACTAGAGCAGAAAAGCTGAAAATTCTAAAAATCAGAGTGCCTCTTCCCTCCAAAGGAGCACAGCTCCTCACCAGCAATGGAACAAATTTGGACGCAGAGTGACTTTGATGAGTTGAGAGAAGAAGGCTTCAGATGATCGGTAATAACAAACTTCTCTGAGCTAAAGGAGGATGTTCAAACCCATCGCAAAGAAGCTAAAAACCTTGAAAAAAAGATTAGACGAATGGCTAATTAGAATAAACAGCATAGAGAAGACCTTAAATGACCTGATGGAGCTGAAAACCATGGCACAAGAACTATGTGACACATGCCAAAGCTTCAGTAGCCGATTTGATCAAGTGGAAGAAAGGGTATCAGTGATTGAAGATCAAATGAATGAAATGAAGTGAGAAGAGAAGTTCAGAGAAAAAAGAATAAAAAGAAATGAACAAAGCCTCCAAGAAATATGGGACTATGTGAAAAGACCAAATCTACGTCTGACTGGTGTACCTGAAAGTGAGGGGGAGAATGGAACCAAGTTGGAAAACACTCTTCAGGATATTATCCAGGAGAACTTCCCCAACCTAGCAAGGCAGGCCAACATTCAAATTCAGGAAATACATAGAACGCCACAAAGATACTCCTCGAGAAGAGCAACTCCAAGACACGTAATTGTCAGATTCACTAAAGTTGAAATGAAGGAAAAAATATTAAGGGCAGCCACAGAGAAAGGTCGGGTTACCCACAAAGGGAAGCCCAACAGACTAACAGCGGATCTCTCGGCAGAAACTCTACAAGCCAGAAGAGAGTGGGGGCCAATATTCAACATTCTTAAAGAAAAGAATTTTCAACCCAAAATTTCATATCCAGCCAAACTAAGCTTCATAAGTGAAGGAGAAATAAAATCCTTTACACACAGGCAAATGCTGAGAGATTTTGTCACCACCAGGCCTGCCTTACAAGAGCTCCTGAAGGAAGTACTAAACATGGAAAGGAACAACTGGTACCAGCCACTGAAAAAACATGCCAAATTGTAAAGATCATTGATGCTAGGAAGAAACTGCATCAACTAATGAGCAAAATAACCAGCTAACATCATAATGACCAGGATCAAATTCACACATAACAATATTAACCTTAAATGTAAATGGGCTAAATGCTCCAATTAAAAGACACAGACTGGCAAATTGGATAAAGAGTCAAGACCCATCAGTGTGCTGTATTCAGGAGACCCATCTCACGTGCAGAGACACACATAGGCTCAAAATAAAGGGATGGAGGAAGATCTACCAAGCAAATGGAAAACAAAAAAAAGCAGGGGTTGCAATCCTAGTCTCTGATAAAACAGACTTTAAACCGACAAAGATCAAAAGAGACAAAGAAGGCCATTACATAATGATAAAGGGATCAATTCAACAAGAAGAGATAACTATCCTAAATATATATTCACCCAATACAGGAGCACCCGGATTCATAAAGCAAGTCCTTAGAGACCTACAAAGAGAATTAGACTCCCACACAATAATAATGGGAGACTTTAATACCCCACTGTCAACATTAGATCAACGAGAGAGAAAGTTAACAAGGATATCCAGGACTTGAACTCAGCTCTGCACCAAGTGGCCTTAATAGACATCTACAGAACTCTCCACCCCAAATCAACAGAATATATATTCTTCTCAGCACCACATCACACTTATTCCAAAATTGACCATGTAGTTGGAAGTAAAGCACTCCTCAGCAAATGTAAAAGAACAGAAATTATAACAAACTGTCTCTCAGACCATAGTGCAATCAAACTAGAACTCAGGATTAAGAAACTCACTCAAAACCGCTCAACTACATGGAAACTGAACAGCCTGCTCCTGAATGACTACTGGGTACATAATGAAATGAAGGAAGAAATAAAGATGTTCTTTGAAGCCAATGAGAACAAAGACACAACATACCAGAATCTCTGGGAAACATTTAAAGCAGTGTGTAGAGGGAAATTTATAGCACTAAATGTACACAAGAGAAAGCAGGAAAGATCTAAAATTGACACCCTAACATCACAATTAAAAGAACTAGAGAAGCAAGAGCAAACACATTCAAAAGCTAGCAGAAGGCAAGAAATAACTAAGATCAGAGCAGAACTGAAGGGGATAGAGACACAAAAAAACCCTTCAAAAAATCAATGAATCCAGGAGCTGGTTTTTTGAAGCGATCAACAAAATTGATAGACCGCTAGCAAGACTAATACAGAAGAAAAGAGAGAAGAATCAAATAGATGCAATAAAAAATGATAAAGGGGATATCACCACCGATACCACAGAAATACAAACTACCATCAGATAATACTATAAACACCTCTACTCAAATAAACTAGAAAATCTAGAAGAAATGGATAAATTCCTGGACACATACACCCTCCTAAGACTAAACGAGGAAGAAGTTGAATCCCTGAATAGACCAATAACAGGCTTTGAAATTGAGGCAATAATTAATAGCCTACCAACCAAAAAAAGTCCAGGACCAGACGGATTCACAGCCGAATTCTACCAGAGGCACAAAGAGGAGCTGGTACCATTCCTTCTGAAACTATTCCAATCAATAGAAAAAGAGGGAATCCTCCCTAACTCAATTTATGAGGCCAGCATCATCCTGATACCAAAGCCTGGCAGAGACATAACAAAAAAAGAGAATTTTAGACCAATATCCCTGATGAACATTGATGCAAAAGTCCTCAATAAAATACTGGCAAACCAAATCCAGCAACACATCAAAAAGCTTATCCACCACGATCAAGTTGGCTTCATCCCTGGGATTCAAGGCTGGTTCAACATATGCAAATTAATAAATGTAATCCATCATATAAACAGAACCAAACACAAAAACCACATGATTATCTCAATAGATGCAGAAAAGGCCTTTGACAAAATTCAACAGCCCATCATGCTAAAAACTCTCAATAAACTAGGTATTGATTGGACATATCTCAAAATAATAAGAGCTATTTATGACAAACCCACAGCCAATATCATACTGAATGGGCCAAAACTGGAAGCATTCCCTTTGCAAACTGGCACAAGACAGGAATGCCCTCTCTCACCACTCCTATTCAACATAGTGTTGGAAATTCTGGCCAAGGCAATCAGGCAGGAGAAAGAAATAAAGGGTATTCAATTCGGAAAAGAGGAAGTCAAATTGTCTCTGTTTGCAGATGACATGATTGTATATTTAGCAAACCCCATCGTCTTAGCCCAAAATCTCCTTAAGCTGATAAGCAACTTCAGCAAAGTCTCAGGGTACAAAATCAATGTGCAAAAATCACAAGCATTCCTATACACCAATAACAGACAAACAGCCAAATCATGAGTGAACTCCCATTCACAATTGCTTCAAAGAGAATAAAATACCTAGGAATCCAACTTACAAGGGATGTGAAGGACCCCTTCAAGGAGAACTACAAACCACTGCTCAACGAAATAAAAGAGGACACAAACAAATGGAAGAACATTCCATGCTCATGGGTAGGAAGAATGAATATCGTGAAAATGGCCGTACTGCCCAAGGTAATTTATAGATTCAGTGCCATCCCCATCAAGTTACCAATGACCTTCTTCACAGAATTGGAAAAAACTACTTTAAAGTTAATATGAAACCAAAAAAGAGGCCGCATTGCCAAGACAATCCTAAGCCAAAAGAACAAAGCTGGAGGCATCACGCTACCTGACTTCAAACTATACTACAAGGCTACAGTAACCAAAACAGCATGGTACTGGTATCAAAACAGAGATATAGACCAATGGAACAGAACAGAGCCCTGAGAAATAATACCACACATCTACAACCATCTGATCTTTGACAAACCTGACAAAAACAAGAAATGGGGGAAGGATTCCCTATTTAGTAAACGGTGCTGGGAAAACTGGCTAGCCATATGTAGAAAGCTGAAACTGGATCCCTTCCTTACACCTTATACAAAAATTAATTCAAGATGGATTAAAGACTTAAATGTTAGACCTAAAACCATAAAAACCCTAGAAGAAAACCTAGGCAATACCATTCAGGCCATAGGCATGGGCAAGGACTTCATGACTAAAACACCAAAAGCAATGGCAACAAAAGCCAAAATTGACAAATGGGATCTAATTAAACTGAAGAGCTTCTGCACAGCAAAAGAAACTACCATCAGAGTACACAGGCAACCTACAGAATGGGAGAAAATTTTTGCAACCTACCTATCTGAGAAAGGGCTAATATCCAGAATCTACAAAGAACTTAAACAAATTTACAAGAAAAAATCAAACAACCCCATCAAAAAGCGGGAGAAGGATATGAACAGACACTCCTCAAAAGAAGATATTTATGCAGCCAACAGACACATGAAAAAATGCTCATCATCACTGGCCATCAGAGAAATGCAAATCAAAACCACAATGAGATACCATCTCACACCAGTTAGAATGGTGATCATTAAAAAGTCAGGAAACAACAGGTGCTGGAGAGGATGTGGAGAACTAGGAACACTTTTACACTGTTGGTGGGACTGTAAACTAGTTCAACCATTGTGGAAGACAGTGTGGCAATTCCTCAGGGATCTAGAACTAGAAATAGCATTTGACCCAGCCATCCCATTACTGGGTATATACCCAAAGGATTATAAATCATGCTGCTATAAAGACACATGCACACGTATGTTTATTGTGGCACTATTCACAATAGCAAAGACTTGGAACCAACCCAAATGTCCATCAATGATATAGTGGATTAAGAAAATGTGGCACATATACACCACGGAATACTATGCAGCCATAAAAAAGGATGAGTTCATGTCCTTTGTAGGGACATGGATGAAGCTGGAAACCATCATTCTGAGCAAACTGTCGGAAGGACAGAAAACCAAACACCACATGTTCTCACTCATAGGTGGGAATTGAACAATGAGAACACTTGGACACATGGTGGGGAACATCACACACTGGGGTCTGTCGTTGGGTGGGGGAAGGGGGAAGGGATAGCATTAGGAGATATACCTAATATAAATGACGAGTTAATGGGTGCAGCACACCAACATGGCACATGTATATATATGTAACAAAGCTGCACATTGTGCACATGGACCCTAGAACTTAAAGTATAACAATAAAAAAAGGTACTTTGTAGTATTCTCCCTGCCCTTGAGAATGTACTTTGTGAGATTCACCCCCTGCCCACAAAAAATTGCTCCTAACTCCACCATCTCTCCCAAAACCTATAAGAACTAATGATAATCCCACCACCTTTTGCTGACTCCTTTTTCAGACTCAGCCCGCCTGCACCCAGGTGAAATAAACAGCCTTGTTGCTCACACAAAGCCTGTTGGGTGGTCTCTTCACATGGACGTGCGTGACAAATTTTATATCTTTTGGAGAGAAAAACTGCTCTATTATAAATATACATTCTTCAGTGTATGCTGAGTCTATGAAAACTTTTTGCTGTTTGAAGCTCAACAAGCCTTTTCTTCCTCAAAAATTCAGGCTCTGATAGTAGAAAACCATGCTTTTTAATGTTGTTTTTGGAAAAGCATTTAAATGTCTAATTTGAAACTAAAGCCGGATTATGACTTTATTGTACTTGGCTGTCTTGATAGTATAGGAAGGTTTATACGTTCAAGGAGAAGGAGGAAAAGACCTCAGAGAATAACTCAAAATGTTATCTCCTATAGCTTTTCCATTCTGTGTCTATTCATAGCACTTAACGTCCTTATCTTTGTTAGCACTTTGCATTTACATTACACTGTGAATCCTCTGTTATCTTTAACATTTGGTAGAGTGTTTGATACATGTTCGAATGGTTTATTTTTAGAAGCAACCAGATTGTATACCCTTATGTATGTAGCTGAGTCCTAGGTCAGTTACTTTCATGTAAAAAGGTTGACCAACATCTTGTTAGGAAATGTTTGCAGCAAGATGATGTTTTGTAACCAGTTGGTTGGAAGTACAGGTGGCTTGGACTTGCATTTGGCATCTGAAGTATGAACAGCCTGGTGGGACTCAGCCCTCAACCCATGGGATCTGACACTATCTCCAGGTAAATAGTGTTAGAATTGAAATGAATTACAGAATACCTCATCGGTATCTGTAAAAGAATCGATTTGCTATTTGGGGGAAGCCCTCACCTTTCCGACATCTAGTCACAGAAGTGTGCTGTGAGTATGTTGAGTAGAAAGGAAAAACAGCTTGCTTTTTCTATTTACATCTAGCTTTTAATTTACATCACCGTTAGGGCTTAGAAAACAATACACCAAAATAAAAGCCTCAGAAGCAAAAATTTTTCTCTGGCCTTCTCCTGGCCTCCTGTCTCTCAGTCCCATTCTCCCCACCAAGGCCAGCCGTAGAAACTAGAATCCCTCTTCCTCAAGGCAGATCATGAAAGCCATAACCCCTTTTCCCCAAAGCCAGTCATAAAACCTAGAATACTACTATAACTTCCCTTCACCTTTCTGTGTAAAAACTAGCCATAAAGAAATTATCTGACCTATCTTGTTTGACTGGGGGTCATAAGACCCCCATTCCAGAAAGGGACCTGCCCCACGCCCAGAAGGAAGGAATGCGTGCTCAGAGAGGCCAAGAAGAACCTAGATGGACAGGCCTGGCTGGGTTTCCCCACTCAGTCTATTAGCATTAGATCATATGCTTTTTGTCCAATCATATTTCTATAGGGCTGTTCCATACTTTGTTGAACTTAAGCATAAAATGGACAACTTCCCCTGTATCTTTGGGTCTTTATTCTGAATGCTCCTATGTATACATGTTAAATAAATTTGTATACCCTTTCTCTAATTAATCTGACTTTTACAAGTTGATTTTTCAGGAAACCTTCAGAGGGCCAAGGAGCATTTGCTCCCTTTGCCCCTCTCTACGTAACCATTCCCCAGTTACTTCACTTCTAGATTATCTAGTTTTTCACTGTTATAACAGTATGATGAACAGATAGCTTTGTGTGTAAAACTTTCCCTACATTTGATTATTTCCATGGAATGGTTTTGAAGGCATTTTAAAGACTCTTCATAACTTTGTACATTGCTTTCCAAAAAGGTTGTCCTGGTTTAAACTTTGACCAGTTCTGTATAGAGGTGGCTATCTTGCCATAGTTTCCCCTGCATTGATTATTCCCATTTTTACATATTCTTACCAATTTGATTGGTGTAAAATGGTATCTATTTGATTTTTATCAATGGTGAGATTGAGTATTTTCTCAAATAGTTGTAAATTGCATCTGTTCTTTTGTGAAGACAACTAGCAGCGTATCTAAGACCAGTTTGAATATTTTTTGTCTTTTTTGTCTTACATATTCATTTATAAAGGCAGATTTCCAGTAAAACTGATTGCCCCCAAGTTTGGGTATAATAGAGTCATTTCACTTTGACCTTCCTCATTAATTTCTAAATTGTTCACAATTCAAAAAGTTATTACCAGTTGTGGAGCTACCTTTTTTTTTTTTTTTTTTTTTTTGAGACAGGGTCTCCCCCTATAATCTTGCCCTGCTGGAGTGCAGTGGCATGATTATAACTCACTGCAGCCTTGACTTCCTGGGCTCAGGCCATCCTCCTTCCTCAGCCTCTTGAGTAGCTAGGGCTACAGACATGTGTCCCCATGCCTGGCTGATTTAAAAAAATTTTATTTTTAGGCCGGGTGCGGTGGCTCATGCCTGTAATCCCAGCACTTGGGGAGGCCAAGGTGGGCAGATCACGAGGTCAGGAGTTCAAGACCAGCCTGGCGAATATAGTGAAACCCCGTCTCTACTAAAAAAAAAAAAAAAAAAAAAAAAATAGCTGGGAGTGGTGGCGCATGCCTGGAGTCCCAGCTACTTGGGAGGCTGAGGCAGGAGAATCGCTGGAACCTGGGAGGTGGAGGTTGCAGTGAGCCAAGATCGTGCCACTGCACTCTATCCTGGGCAACAGAGCAAGACTCTGTCTCAAACATAATAAATAAAATAAATTTATTTTTAGTAGAGATGAGGTCTTGCTATGTTGTCCACACTGGGAGCTACCTATTTTTAAATAGTGTTTAAGATACATGGTCTGTAAATATATAGACACTGCTTAGAAATGAAAAGCAGCAGTTAAATTTCTTGGGGAAGTTGGGGTTTATACAGGAAATTGTCACAGGTACTCAGGAATTGGAAGTTGTGGCTGGGGATGTGTATGGAAGAATAGGCACTGTAAGTAGTAGACCTGCAGACCAGTCTGCCCTGATAGAACATTCTTTTTTTTTTTTTTTTTTTTTTTTTTTTTTTGAGACGGAGTCTTGCTCTGTCGCCCAGGCTGGAGTGCAGTGGCCCGATCTCAGCTCACTGCAAGCTCTGCCTCCCGGGTTCACGCCATTCTCCTGCCTCAGCCTCCCTAGTAGCTGGGACTAGAGGCGCCTGCCACCACGCCCGGCTAATTTTTTTTTTTTTTTTGTATTTTTAGTAGAGACGGGGTTTCACCGTGTTAGCCAGGATGGTCTTGATCTCCTGACCTCGTGATCTGCCCTCCTCGGCCTCCCAAAGTGCTGGGATTACAGGCGTGAGCCACCGCGCCCGGCCCTGATAGAACATTCTTAACCCAGCTCTCCTTCAATAGCTGGTCCGATAGAAAGGCAAACAAATATACATCTGGAGTCATGGGTTCTAACCTTACCTCTGAAATTAGCCTGCTTTGTAACCATTCACAGATTAACCTTTCTGTTTCTCAGTGTTTACATCAGTAAGTTCCTTTCAGCTCTAAACATCTTTGATTTTATTATTCAGGGGACAGAATGTTATCCTTTTGAATCCAGAACCTTTCTTGTGAATATCTGTGAATAGGTCTGGAAAACAACTCATTGTTGTTGGGAACTACTTGGAGGAAAATAATAGGAAAAATTTCCCATACCAGCTAAACTTTTAGGGAATGTGAACTTCCAAATCCTTGTTTATTTTCTTTTAATACATTAAAAATGGTAAAATTAAATTATTTTTATGCCATTTTCCCTGGACTAGAGAATTGTAGATTCGGTGTTTTCTCTTTCAACATGCCAGAAAACGACAGGTTAAGTTGAAAGAGTGCAGGAAAGAAATTTAGAGAGAAAATAACTAGCTGCAAAACCCTTCGGTGTTTTAAGAGAAGTTACTATTTACACAAACGTGGCCTCGGCTTAATCAAATGCTTTAATTTAAAGTCACAAACATCCCTTTTCTGGCTTGAGAAAGCTGGTGGAAGCAGCTCAGTGCTCTGTGTTCGATTTGTTAGGTCTTGCTCAGTGTGCAGAACTCTGCTGGCAGCTGAGAGGGGAAGCCGGAAAGAGGCAAGTTCCTGGTGCAAAGGTGGCTCTGCAGCATAATTTAGGCATTGGAGGAGCTGTGGTTGTAACACTCTACAAGATGGGTTTTCCGGAAGCCGCCAGGTGAGTGACATTCAGAGTTTTGTGTGTCAGTTAATCCTTCTGACTTTTCACAGTTGATGATGTTTTACATGTAAAAATTTCTTATTTTATTGTCTTAGTATTTAAGGAAAAGTATCTCATTACATTGTTTTAAGAACATGGCTTTAAAAGTGGCCATCAGGTTTTAAATTTAACCAACTTTAGGTGAATTCTGTTGAAAAAGGACCCAGGATAGTCACGAGAGTACTGAACTAGAAGCCTGAGCTAGCTGGGTATGGGTCTCGGCCCTAGCAACCTAAGTTATTTAGGCAGGTCTCCTCATGGCCTTCCAGGCTTCTGAGGTGGTTTAGGGAGTCACTAAATGTGCTGATTGGATCTTTGCAAATTTGTATTTCCGAGTCCAGCTAATAAGCCCTCGTTGATGCTAGAATTCTTTTTGTCTCTTGCTGACTTTCTTCCTCTCCTTCAACTGCCCATGCTCCTCAATTTGCAGGCACTTTCTTTCGCATCCCACTCAGGATCCCTCAACTCCCTTGCTTATCTCTCAAAGAAATGTTCCTCCCCAGAGGAAAAAAGCGCCCCTCCTGTCAAAGGCTCAGCTTTCCTTGTTCCATGCTTTTGTTTCCAGTCACTTTCTGTAACTTGGTTATCTTTCCATTGACTCCTTTCCCTCTGTCAGCATACATGTTCAGGTCTTCCCTTAGATCTCTTTTTCTCCTTGCCTTAATTGTTGTTGTTCATGATGAGCCTTTTATGTTGAGCCACCTTTATTTTTCCAAGCCGGAATACCTCACAGTCTAATTTTTACCTCACCACTGAGGTCAGTGTCAGGTAAGGCCACCAGGATCTAAATGAAATTGAATAACTTTGTCTTTATTTTCCCTATTTACTCTCTTTAACCCGGCTGTAGCTTTTGACATTAATTGGCTCCCTTTTTTCTTTTGAAATTCTTGGTAATTATTTAATCATTTATTCACACTTTTTTGTTTCTCCAACAAAGGATATGAGACACACTTCTTTTTTTTTATTATTATACTTTAAGTTGTAGGGTTCATGTGCACAACCTGCAGGTTTGTTGCATATGTATACATGGAGACACACTTCTTTTATTGAGTCTATGTTATTCTTCTGTAAGCTCTTGGATCTCTTCTCTTGTCCTCTCCTCTTTCTCTGCCCAGAATATAATTTCTGTTGTAAAACTTATAATTTAAAGCCCGTCTCAAATACCATCTCTTTTTGAATATCCACAGCACTTTGTATGTTTTTGGGTACTATCTAGTTGGTTTGGTTGCACTGTATCCGGTTTTTAATTCCCTTTATTATATGAAATCCTTGAGGCCTAAGACTGTGACTTACATCTCTTGTTCCTGGAGTCTCTCATATGTTTATTGAATGGGAGTAAAAAGTATTGAATCTTAAGTTTTTGTGGGGTTTTTTTCTTTTTTGAGACAGAGTCTTGTATGGTCCTCTAAATATATGGGGAAGGCAACATACTTTTTTCAAAATGCTGTAGAAGCTCAGAGGAAGAAATTATTATGAAGAAAGTAAATTTGAACTGAGATGACTAGGATTGCCCAACAGAAGTATAGGGGAAGGGCATTCCAAGTCTGTACAATAGGTATAGAAATTTGAAAATACAAGGAGGTTTGACAAGTGGTTGTGCTGTGTGGGTACAGAGTAGATTATTTTGTGTGTGCCTGGGTAGAGGGACAAAGTGGGATTATGGTTTTGAAATGATTCAGATGCAATGCTCAGGAGTTTGGAATTTATCCTATAGAATATGGAAAGATATTCTTTAGCAAAAGATCATGTGACTATATTACACATTAGGTAGATCAGTCTGACATTACTTTGAGCTGGTGGTGGAGAGACCAGAGGCCAGGAATGCTTAGGAAGCTGTTGTAGGAGTGTGGAGGAGAAATGTTTAGTGTTGCAACACAGGCTGTGAACAATGAAGAGGAGAGGTCACATTTAAGGGCTGTGAACAACTACATTTAATTCACAATTAAACTTTAATTTAGACCAGTTTTGAACATGAATATCAACTTTGTATTATAACATCCTATTCATTTTACGTAAGAGAGGAGCTTTTGTGCTACAGACTGAGAATAGGTATGTATTCTATATTCTGTTAAATAAAACCCCCTTTTAAAGCCCAACTTTGTTTTGTATTTCTTTTTTTAAAATTAAGGTATAATTTACATACAGTAAAATTCATTCTTTGTATTATATTTCCACAAGTTTTGATAAACATACAGTCGTATTACTACCACCATAATCAAAATATAAAATAGTTTTATTGCCCAAAAATGTTCCTTGTGCACCCATGTAGTCAACCCTTCTCCTTCTCTTCTAGCCTCTGGCAACCACTGATCTGTTTTCCACCCATGTAGTACTCCTTTTTGCAGAGTGTCATGTGAATGGAATCAAAAAGCCTTTGAGTCTGGCTTCTTTCACTTAGTATTACACATTTTAAAATTCATCCACGTTATTGTGTGTATCAGTAATTTGTCCCCTTTTATTGCTCAATAATATTCCATTGTATGGAAGTGTTAGTTGCTTACCCATTCTTTGGTTGAGGCATATTTGGATTATTCCCATTTTCTTTTTAATGGAAAACTAAGTTAGCTTGAAAGTTTAACCCAGTGGGTACTATTTGAAGATCCTAAGTCATATAAGAAGTTAAATTAGAAGTAAAAATTGTTTCTATATAATGATTACAACTGTATGCATGCCTATAAATAAAGACAACAAGAAGCAATACAGAAAAATGGATAGAGAAAAATTGTTGGAGTAGTAGCATTGCAGGTGATTAACTTGTTCGTATTTTCTTTTTTCTTTTCTTTTTTGAGACAGAGTTTGGCTCTTGTCACCCAGGCTGCAGTGCAATGGCACAATCTCGGCTCACTGCAACCTCCGCCTCCCAGGTGCAAGTGATTCTCTTGCCTCAGCCTCCCAAGTAGCTGGGATTACAGGTGCTCACTACCACGCCCGGCTTATTTTTCTATTTGTAGTAAAGACAGGGTTTCACCATGTTGGCCAGGCTGGTCTTGAACTCCTGACCTCAGGTAATCCACCTGCCTCTGCCTCCCAAAGTGCTGAGATTACAGGCATGGACCATTGCGCCTGGCCTGAATTTCTTTTTCAATTAGAACCTGTTAGGTAGTTACAAACAAACAGGAAAAAATTCTAAGAATAATACAAGGAACTCCCTTATACCTTCTACCTAGATTTACCAATTGTTGACATTTTGCCCATTTGCTTTATCATTTTTCCTCTACATATATTTATATCTGTATACATTTTTTCTTAACTATCTGAGAGAAAGGTGGAGTTGTTATGCTTCTTTATCCCTAAATATTTCAGTGTGTAATTGTAGAAACAATGATATTCTTTTGCTTAACCACAGTAGTTATAAAACTCAAGAAACTTAACAGGGTTGGGCGTGGTATCTCATGCCTGTAATCCCAGCACTTTGGGAGGCTGAGGCGAGTGGATGGCTTGCGGTCAGGAGTTTGAGACCAGCCTGGACAACATGGCGAAACCCCCTCTCTACTAAAAATCAAAAATTAGCCAGGCGTGGTAGCACATGCCTGTAGTCCCAGCTACTCAGGAGGCTGTGGCATGAGAATCGCTTGAGCCTGGGAGGCAGAGGTTGGGGTGAGCTGAGATCATGCCACTGAACTCCAGCCTGGGCAACAGAGCAAGACTCTGTTTCAAAAAAAAAAAAAGAAAAAAGAAAGACATGGATACAATACTATGAACTCATTCAAATAACATAGTCACAGTTCAACAACTGTCCCAATAATATATTTATAAAATATACTCTAAACTTTATTTTTTCTCCCTGTCAGGAGAAATCCCTAAAAATGCATTTAGCTGTCATGTCTCTTTAGTTTCCTTTAATGTGAAATGATCCCTCAGACTTTCTTTGTATTTCTTGACCATGATTTTTTTGAAGAGTGCAAGTATATTCTTTAATAGTAGAATGCTTCTCAGTTTGCAATTGCCTAATGTTTCCCCAAATTAGATTCAGATTATACATTTTTTGCAGCATGAAATTATGTTGTGTCCTTCTAGGTGCATCATATCTGGAGGTGCATGAGGTTGTTTAACCCATATTGGTGTTGTTAGCTTTAATCACTTAATGTGGCATCTACCATGTTTTCCTCTGAAAAGTTGCTGTTCTTTTCTTTGTAATTAATAAGTAATTTGTAGCAAGATGCTTTGAGATGATACCATTTTTTCTATACTTATTAACTGGCATTATTCTGTAAAGAAGAGCTTTCCCTTGTCTTCCATTTCAAAATTTATTCATATATTTATATATGTATGCATACAAACTCATGAATTCTTATTGTATTCACTGGGTTATAGTAAAGTGGTATCAATTATTTTGATTTTCAAAATGCCCCTGATTTGGCCAGTGGGAACCTGATCAAGTTGATTCATTTTTCCCTATGATTCCTTTTAGTAGTTCCTTACTTTCTGGCGCAAGAAGATATTCCAGGCTCGTCCTGTGCTTTCCATGCCTCAGCCCTAGGATCAGTCATTTCTCTGAGTCCTGGTTCCTTTTAGTAGAGAATGGTATATGGAAACCACAAATGGCTGTTAGCTGTGTGCTTGTTATTATTACTTCTAGGCCTTTTCAGCAAGCGCAGTAGCACACACAAGCATTACTTTAGTTTTGTTTTAAGACAGATATTTAAGGAATGCACGCAATAATCTTAATGTGA
Source organism: Homo sapiens (assembly GCF_000001405.40). NCBI lineage: Eukaryota > Metazoa > Chordata > Mammalia > Primates > Hominidae > Homo > Homo sapiens. The sequence continues at coordinate 53,019,759 of NC_000001.11, forward strand.
TGTATATCTGTTTCCATACTCATGTAGCCACCAGTTTGTTAGCAGTTAGAATGAGGAATTTATAAAACTAGTTAAATGTCACTTGTATGTGACAACTTTTTAAATTTTATAGACTAGAGTTACCGGAGACAGATTTTTGTTTTTTTGAGACAGAGTCTCCCTCTGTCATCTAGGCTGGAGCGCAGTAGCACATTCTCAGCTCACTGCAACTTCCACCTCCTGGGTTCATGCAATTCTTGTGCCTAAGCCTCCTGAGTAGCTGGGATTACAGGTGCATGCCACCATGCCTGGCTAATTTTTGTATTTTTAGTAGAGACGGAGTTTTGCCATGTTGTCCAGGCTGGTCTTGAACTCCTGAACTCAAGTGATCTGCCTGCCTCGGCCTCCCAAAGTGCTGGGATTACAGACATGAGCCACCATGCCATGCCATCAGAGACAGTTTTGATCAGTGGGAAGAGTACCTTAATCAACTTTTTGATCACACTACTGGCTTTGAGCATATTAATTTAGCCTTTTCCTTATTTAGAAAATACTGAAAATATGTACTTTAGGGATCAGAAAATAACAAATTAAAAATATCTGCCACACATTGTAGTTGCTCAATAAACTTTTGGTTTTTTATTTCCCAGTGCATTTTCCTTTCTTCTTTCCTATTTCTCTAGTTGTGTCACTGGTTAAAGGTCAAAAATAGTTTTATCTTAGTTTAATTTAATTCAATTTTATAGAGACAGGGTTTTGCTATGTTGCCCAGGCTGGTCTCAGACTCCTGGAGTCAAGCAGTCTGCCCACCTCAGCCTCCAGTAGTGCTGGGATTACAGGTGTGAGCCACTGTGCCCAGCCTGAAAATGGTTTTATTTATTAATTATAAATATTACTTAGGGGTATAGGAAAAAAATGAACTTAAATTTTTAGTACAGTATGGGGAACATATCCAACTCATTGAAGCCTACAGCTTGGCCAAAGAGGATCTTATCATATCTCCCACCATACCTCTATGAGGTTTCTTTGTTTGTCTTCCAACTCTCAACTCTGTGGGCTGTATTTCTATGTGTGATGGACCCATGTGCCTGCTCTGAGGTCATGGGGAGTAGCTGATTACAAATGAACTTGATATTCCCTGAAACTTACGCGTACTGTACGACCGTCTCCAGTCAGAACAAACTGATTACTGGTTAAATTTTCGTTTTAGGGATGAAGGTTTGATTACAATGCAGGACTTTATAATCTTCCCAAACACTAAGAATAACAGCAACCACTTTTTTTTTTAGACAGAGTCTCACTCTGTCATCCAGGCTGGATTGCAGTGGTGTTATCTTGGGTTACTGCAGCCTCGACCTCCCCAGGCTCAGATAATCTTCCCACCTCAGCCTCCTGAGTAGTTTGGACCACAGGCACACACCGTCATGCCCAGCTAATTTTTGTATTTTTTTTGTAGAGGTAGGGTTTCACCATGTCGCCCAGGTTGGTCTTGAACTCTTGGGCTCAAGTGATCCACCTGCCTTGGCCTCCCAAAGTGCTGAGATGACAGGCATGAGCCACCATGCCTGGCCGTCAACCACTTTTTTTTTTTTTTTTTGAGATGGAGTCTTGCTCTGTCGCCCAGGCTGGAGTGCAGTTGCGCAATCTTGGCTCACTGCAGCCTTTGCCTCCCGGGTTCAAGCAATTCTCCTGCCTCAGCCTCTTGAGTAGCTGGGACTACAGGCACGCACCACCAGGCCTAGCTGGCTAATTTTTGTATTTTTAGTAGAGATGGGGTTTCCCATGTTGGCCAGGCTAGTCTTGAACTCCTGACCTCAAGTAATCCTCCCACCTTGGCCTCCCAAAGTGCTGGGATTACAGGCATGAGCCACCGAGCTCGGGCTTTTTCTTTCCTTTTCTTTTTCTTTCTTTTTTTTTTTTTTTTTGGGACAGAGTCTTGCCTTGTCACCCAGGCTGGAGTGCAGCAGTATGATCTCATCTCACTACAATCTCTGCCTCCTGGGTTCAAGCGATTCTTGTGCCTCAGACTCCCGAGTAGCTGGGACTACAGTCATAGGCCACCAGGCCCAGCTAATTTTTGTATTTTTAGAAGAGACGGTGTTTTGCCATTTTTTCCAGGCTGGTCTTGAACTCCTGGCCTCATGTGATCCACCTGCCTTGGACTCCCAAAGTGCTGGGATTACAGGCATGAGCCACCATGCCCGGCCTCATCAACCATTTTTTAAAAATTATTTCAGATAACTTTATTAAGACCTAATTCACATGCCCACAATTCACGCATTTTAAGTGTACGTTCAGTGGTTTTTAGCATATCACAAAGTTGTGCAGTCATTACTGCAATTAATCTTAGAACGTTTTCGTCACCTCAAGAGAAAGTGTGTACCCATTAGTAATCCCTCCTTCTTGCAGTCTCTGGCAAACACTAACCTACTTTCTGTCTCTATGGATTTGCCTGTTATGGACGTTGTATGTAAATGAAATCATACATTGTATGGCCTTTGGTGACTGGCTTCTTTCATTTAGCATAATGTTGTCAAGATTCATCCATGTTGTGGCATATATCAGTACTTGATTCCTTTATATGGCTGAAGGTTCCCATTTCTCCACATTCTGTCATTACTTCTTGTTACCTATCTTTTTAGTGTTAGCCATCCTAGTGGTTGTGTAGTGGTATTTCATTGTTCTTTGCATTTCCCTGATGGCTATTGATGATCAGCATCTTTTCATGTTTATTGGCTATATGCATATCTTCTTTGGAGAAAAGCCTATTCAGATCCTTTGGCATTTGAAAACTGGGGTCTTTGTATTTTAATTATTGAGTTGTGAGAGCTCTTTCACAATCACTTTTTGAGGGCCTGGTATGTGCCAGGACCACACTAGGCGTTTCACATGTACTTCTTTGTTTAATCCTCATAAAAGTCCCACACATTAGGTATTTCTGTTTATAGATGAGATTGATGATCAGAGTTAAAATAACTTATCTAAGGAGAGAGAGCCTTGAGTGGTAGGAATCAAGGTTCTAGCTGAGTGCGGTGCTTCTGTTTTCCTGGCTACTCTGTGCTCTCAGTCTTTGACATTGTTGTAGCAGAGCCTGTTTTAGGCCTTAGAATGAAAATTTTCAAGAATCATGGAGGGAATTCATATGCTGAGTAGGTTATTTGCTGGTTTTTATCTTCAAGTTTCCTTTCAATGTTTATATACTAGATTTATTCCAGGAAACATATATAAACCAAATTAAAAAAATAAAACCAATTGGAATTTAGTTTCTGATAAAAGAACTTTTTATGTAAAGAAATCATGAGGAACATCCTTTTGTGAATGTGAATACTCTCTGAGTTTAAGTTGATATATTCAGTTTTCTTAGAGCAGGGCACATATATAAATTTTAAGGAATGAGGGGTTTTCAGAAAACATTGATAAAACTTTACATATTAACTTTTAATCTGGATGAAAAGTTGGTTCATCACTAACTTCATGAGCTTTTCAAAACAAGCAAGATAAAAGACACACCTGTGACCTTTGGGAACATGCAAGATGTGGCAAGTTTGGAAAAGGGCACAATGATGATTAAAAGTAACTGAAAAATTGGACCAATGAAATGAAATTGGCTTGTGGAGAACTAGCTGTGGCTACTTGATTTTAGGTCACATATTCAGACTTTTGACCAAGACGATATACTGTACCATAGATAATTCTGCTCTGAATGGAACAGGAAGGAATTAGGAGTTAGGCAAGGGAGAATTCAGGGTAACTTCAGTTCCATTCAGTCACTATTCACTAAATGCTTATGATTTGCTGGGAACTGGCAATACAGAGATTTTTTTTAAAGAAAAGGTATGGTATCTGCTCTTAAGCCGTTGACATTTAGTAGGGTTTCACAGAAAAGTAGTTTCCTGAAAGGGCTGGGTCTCGAAGGGAGAAATGGAGTTTGCTAAGATGGAGGTATTCTGGACCCAGGGAGCAGCAGTGGCAAAGGCATAGAAGTGTGAGGTGGCATTCTGTGCAACGAGGACTGCACAGAGTCTGCTTGCTGGAGATGAGGTTCCATTCCCTGTTCATATATTAATATGATTCCTCTAGTAGGCTCTCTTTTCAATTTAGACTCTCCACACCCTTCCTTTCACCCTCACTCTCTGCTGATTACTTTGCCTTATACTTTGTTGAGAAATAGAAGCCATTAAACCCAAACTTCCTCAACTTCCATCCAAGACCTACAGACCCACTACACGAGAATTACACCCATCTGATCCTCTTTCTTCGCTTGAGTCTCCTCGTCCTGTCACAGGCCACAAGATTTTTCTCCTTCCATCTCCTTTTTCCAGGTTCCTTACCATCATCAGGCATACCTGTTCTGATTTGTTCATCTTAAAATGAAACCCAGCCTTTTTGAAAATCCTGACATGCTGCAAGATGGATGATCCTTGAGAACATTATGCCAAGTGATATGTCAGTCACAAAAAGACAAATACTATATGATTCCACTTAGAATCATAGTACCTAGAGGTACCTAGAGTATTCAAAATTATAGAGACAGAAAGTAGAATGGTGGTTGCCAGGGGTTGGAAGCAGGGGGGAGTGAGGAGTTACTCTTTAATGGGTAGAGTTTCAGTTTTGCAAGATGAAAAGAGTTATGGAGATGAAAGGTGATGATGGTTGCACAACATTATGACTGTATTTAATACTACTAAACTGAACACTTAAATATGGTTAGGATGGTAAATTTTATGTGTATTTTAACATAATAAAAAATTGGAAAATAAAATATTTTTTAAAAGTTATAGGACTCTCATATGCCCACATCCAGAAGGAAATGCTACATTTCTTTCTTTCTTTTTTTTTCTTTTTTTTTTTGAGATGGAGTCTTGCTCTGTTGCCCAGGCTGGAGTGCAGTGGCATGATCTCTGCTCACTGCAACCTTTGTCTCCTGGGTTCAAGCGAATTCTCCTGCCTCAGACTCCCGAGTAGCTGAGTTTACAGGCGCACACCACAATGCCCGGCTAATTTTTGTATTTTTAGTAGAGACGGGGTTTCACTATGTTGGCCAGGCTGGTCTCGAACTCCTGACCTCAGGTGATCCACCTGCCTCGGCGTCCCAAAGTGCTGGGATTACAGGTGTGAGCTACCACGCCTGCCCAGAAATGCTACATTTCTTTAAGAGATTAGTGAAAATAAAGATGTCATCTTTATCCCCCCCACCAAAAAAATCCCACAACTCTTCCTTGATACCACCACATTCCTCTCCAGAGACCACCTCATTTTACTGTTCCACTAAGACTAATGTCTCAAAAGAGCCACGCTGTGTCTATTTCCCTCTTCTATTCACTCTTCAATTCACTATAATCTGACTTCCACCCTCCACTGAAAACTGCTTTTGTCAAGGTCAGGTCATCTGTACTCTCCATGTGCACATCTAGTGGATACTTGACCTTGTGGCAGCATTTGACAGTTTGCCCCTCCCTCCTGGAATCTTGCTCCCGGCTCCTATGACACCATGCTGGTTTTCCTCTTGCATCACTGGCTGCTGCTTTCCCTTCTGTCCCTGACTCTGAGTAATGGAGGTCTAAAGGGCATTGTGCTGGACTCTCTTGTTTCTCTATAATTCTGTTACAGTCCCTGCCCAGGGATTTAAATGCTTTCACTATGCTGATGATTTCTCCATTTTATCTCTAGCTGGCCCTCTCCACTGAGCTCCAGACTCTCATATCCATGGCTTTCTTGTTTTATAAAATAGTATACTTACTGTGCCTTAAACAGAACTTGGATCCCCTCTATTCCCACTACATTCCTCCTTGTCCTCGTAATGGCCTCTCCATCACCCAGTTATTCAGGCCAAATGCCTGGATAATCCTTGCCCTTTCCTCTTTGTATCTCCCTCACCCCCACAGCAAGGCTTGTGGATTCTATTTCTATTTTGAATCTATTCCCACTCTCTATCTACTGGCAGACTGCCTCTGTAGTCCAGGCCACCATCACCTCCTATCTGGATTATTCCAACAGCCTCCTAACTAGTGCCCACTCCTCTTGCTCCTCTCTCCATCGTCATTCGTTCAGCACACTGTTGTAAGAATAATCACAAATCAAACAATTTCACTTCCATGTTATCATTTCTATGGATTTCCAAATTCCCTACTTTGGCCTGCCTGCATCATCATTTGGCCTGCCTAGTTCTCCAATTTCATTTCATGTCACTCTCCCCACACCTACTGTATTATAGAGACTCTGGTCTTATTTGACTTTCTTTTAACATACTCCTTTCTCCCTCAGGATCTTTGCAGTTTCCTCTTTGAATGGCTAGCTCCTTTTCTTCCTTTAATAAGGTCTTAGAGGTCATTCCTTGACTGTCCTTCCTAAAGTAGGTTCCTTTTTTTTAAATTTAAAATTATTTTTTATTGATGCATAACTGATGTACATAGTCTCAGGGTACAAGTACTAATTTAATACATTCATGTAATTTGTGAAAATCAAATCAGTATACTTGGGATATCCATCACCTTAAATATTTGTCTTTTCTTTATTCTAGGAACATTTGAATTATTCTCTTTTGATTATTCTCTTTTTGCTATTTAGAAATGTAAATGTATAGTAAACTATAGTCACCCTACTCCTGTTTCAAAGTACTTGGTACAGTTTGCAGTTATTTTGTGTTTACTTCTTTTTCTCCTCCACTGGAAGAATATAAACTAAGTGAGTGCAAGGACTGGGTCTGATCTGTTCACTATCATATCCCCAGTGTTTTGAAATGTCTTGCTTGGCATGTAGCAAGAAGTCATTAAATATTTATGAAACGAGGCCAGGCACAGTGGCTCACATCTGTAATCTCAGCACCTTGGGAGGCCAATGTGGGAGGATCGATTGAGCCCAGGAGTTTGAGACCAGCCTGGGCAACATAACAAGGCCCCTGTCTCTACAAAAAATTTGAAAAATTAGCTGGGCATGGTGGCATGCGCCTATAGTCCCAGCTTACTTGGGAGGCTGAGGCAAGATTGCCTGAGACCAGGAGTTCGAGGTTACAGTAAGCTGTGACAGGACCACTGCACCCCAGCCTGGGCGACAGAGTCCCTGTGGGAAAGAGAGAGAGAAAAAGTATGAAATAATAGAAGGAAAAGGGAAAGAGGAAGGAGAAATGGATTTGAGGACTGCAGGGAGACATACATGAGAGGAGAGGGGTAGAAAAAGACAGATGCTTATTGAACAACTGCTGCACTTTTTTTTTTTTTTTTTGACAGGTTCTCACTCTGTCACCCAGGATGGGGTGCAGTGGTGTGATCATAGCTCACTGCAGCCTCTATCTCCCAGGCTCAGGTGATCCTTCCACTTTAGCCTCCTGAGTAGCTAGGACTACAGACACATGCCACCATAATAGGTTAATAAATAACTTATTTATTTAGAAATGGTCTGGTTCCATCACCCAGGCTCAAGCAATCCTTCCATCTCAGCCTCCTGAGTAGCTGGGACTACAGGCACGCACCACCACACCAGGCCAATTTTTGTGTTTTTTATAGAGACGGGGTTTCAACATGTTGCCCAGGCTGGTCTCGAACTCCTGAGCTCAAGCGATCTGTCCGCCTTGGCCTCCCAAAGTGTAGGATTACAGGTGTGAGCCACTGTGCCTGGCTAACTATATTATTTATTTTTTTGTTTCTAAATTGTCTCCTCCACTAGGATGTAAGATTCATGAGGGTAGCTTCTTTGGTTTACTGTATTTTCAAGAAAAACTTCTAGCTCCTAATGAGCTGATTATGTGTTGAAAAAATGAGAAGAAGAGCTTAATTGTTTCTTTGTTTATGACGGAGTTTCGCTCTTGTTGCCCAGCATGGAGTGCAATGGTGCCATCTCGGCTCACTGCAACCTCCGCCTCCTAGGTTCAAGCGATTCTCCTACCTCAGCCTCCTGAGTTGCTGGGATTACAGGCATGCGCCATCATGCCCAGCTAATTTTTGTATTTTTAGTAGATACGGGGTTTCTCCATGGTGGCCAGGCTGGTCTCGAACTCCCGACTACAGGTGATCCACTCGCCTCGGCCTCCCAAAGTGCAGGGACTATAGGCATTGAGCCATCGCGCCCGGCCAAGCTTAATTATTTTATATGCTTACTAAAGATTTCCTTTGGATAAGATTTGCAACATCTCTGTTCTTAGGGTTTTTGAAAATTTTGAAAATTACTATTTTATAAATGTTGAAAAACCTAGTACCTATGTGACTCCATGAATTGAAACAGTTTCTTTTCCCCAGTTCTTTTAGAACTCATCAAATTGAAGCTGTTCCAACCAGCTCTGCAAGTGATGGATTTAAGGCAAATCTTGTTTTTAAGGAGATTGAGAAGAAACTTGAAGAGGTAAGATTTATGTAAAATATTGCCAGGAAGGACCTTGAGGCTAGAGGAAGCAGACACAGGTTTCAGGTGTTGCCACGAGGTGGTACAATTGAAAATTTATATCATGTTGTCAAGTATTGAGTGTAGTTAGATTTCTGAGTGTCTATTAAGGCTTCCTTGTAATTCTAAAAGGAATGCATTTCAGAAATGTATGAATCTCCAGATTTGAGCTAAAGAACTATAATAAATACTGTTAAAATTGTCACTCTTTTCTAGGTCCTCTTTGTCAGAGGGTCATTCAGTCATGGGCAAAGTTCAAATATAAAGGGATTCTAATTTATTTTGCTGTAATTTCCTTTGAATTAAAACGGTCTTACTTAAAATCATTTCAAAGAATAATATTTAAAATGAGCCTTTTTTGTATATATATCAAAATTCTTTGTAAAAAGAAATTGTGTTTTGATTTCTTAAAGTAGTTAAAAAATTTTTTTGTTTTAAAAATGATGTTAATTTAAAAAATACTATACAGAAATATATGTTTATGAATAGTATAAATTTTATACTATACTTTTGTTTTAACCTTTTAAACAAAAGTTTAAAATCTCCCCAAATTCTGCCACTCAGAGTTTACTGAAATGTTAACAGTGGTTAACATTCTTTCAGACATCTTTCTCTGTGTATATTAACTTACAGTTTTAACCTAGGGTCAAAAAAACCTATTGTTTTTTGTTTTGTTTTGTTCTGAGACAGTGTCTTGCTCTGTCACCCAGGCTGGAGTGCAGTGGTATGATCTTGGGTCACTGCAACCTTCACCTCCCGGGTTCAAGTGATTCTTGTTCCTCTGCCTCCTGAGTAGCTGGGATTACAGGCACCCACCACCACGCCAGGCTAATTTTTGTATTTTTAGTAGAGACAGGGTTTCACCATGTTGGTCAGGCTGGTCTTGAACTCCTGACCTCAAGTGATCCACCCGCCTTGGCCTCCCAAAGTGCTAGGATTACAGGGGTGAGCCACCGTGCCCACCACAACACCTGTTGTTTTTTATTATACTATATATGCGGATCTATTTTTATATACAATAATTAGTTCTTGATAGGTAATAATCATACTAAGGCAATCTAAAAATAACTCTCCAGAAAGAAAGTTATTCTCTTCACGCAAAATTGATATTTATTTCATTGTTTTAAACTTAGAAGAATCTTGGGATCTCTTTCTGTTTTTTTTTTTTTTTGAAACAGAGTCTCACTTTGTCGCCCAGAATGGAGTGCAGTGGCATGATCACGGCTCACTGCAGCCTTGAGCCCCTGGGCTCAAGTGATCCTTTCACCTTGGCCCCCCAAAGTGTTGGGATTACAGGCGTGAGCCTCTGCCTGGATGTATTTCATTATGGATTTTAGATCTGAGACCGTATAAGGCATGGTTACAGCCATAATCACAATGCAAATTACACATCTATTAAGGTGATCAAAGTGGGCTGGAATAAATAGAATGTTTAAACTGTATTTCACTCACGTTAGAGCCATGGTGTGAAAGGCAAACATTGTGCTTATCTCATAACCCTTATTGTAGGCCAGAGGACTACTTAATATCTGAGATGATTGCACTGTGGATGGGAATACAGGTGATATAACTGATGTGTCTTGTGAAAGAACCCAGTATTCCCAGGACTTTCATTATAATCTACAACCGTCCTGAGGGAGAGCAGGGCCAGGCATTGGCCTAGAAGCTGCAGACCTGTCCTGCAACCATCTTGGGATGCATCCACATGGGGCTACCTGTTTTATAACCTATGTTTTTCTTTTGACATTATGTTCCATGGCCATAAATCTAAATCTTTACCCCCTGTTTTTTTTTTTGAAACAAAGTCTCGCTCTGTCACCCAGGCTGGAGTGCAGTGGCGCGATCTTGGCTCACTGCAACCTCCACCTCCCGGGTTCAAGCGATTCTCGTGCCTCAGCCTCCCGAGTAGCTGGCATTACAGGCACGTGCCACCACACCCAGCTAATTTTTGTATTTTTAGTAGAGATGGGGTTTCACCATATTTGCCAGGGTGGTCTCTTATCTCCTGACCTCGTCATCTTCCCACCTTGGCCTCCCAAAGTGCTGGGATTACAGGCATGAGCCATCGTGCCCGGCCGTTTACCCTCATTTTTAATACATAGTATGTATTCATATGTATTTGTCAAAATTTAAGTAGCTTCCTGTGATGAATATCAGGTTGTATTTAACATTTTCAAGTAAAACAGTGCTGTAATAAATTTCCTGTTGCACTCATATTTAAGTATTTAAGCTATGATCAATTTAATATAAATAAAGGAGGAAAATTGTTGGGTGGTTGGCTACGTGCATTTTGTATGCTGATACATATTGCCAAACTACCCACCAGAAAGAGAGTACTAACTTACAAACATTACCAATTCATGAGAGTGACTATTTTTTCCTTTTAAAACATTTATTTATTTTTATTTTTGTAAAGATGGGGTCTTGCTATGTTGGAGACTAACTATTTTTACTTCACACCTCTGATACTATGTTGGCTGGTTTTTAAAAAAATCTCTGGGCTGGGCACAGTGGCACACCCCTGTAATCCCAGCATTATGGAAGGCTGAGGCGGGTGGATCACTTGATGTCAGGAGTTCAAGACCAACCTGGCCAACATAGCAAAACCCTGTCTCTACTAAAAATATAAAAATTAGCCAGGCATGATGGCGCAGTCCCAGATAGCTGTAGTCCCAGCTACTAGAGAGGCTGAGGCAGGAGAATCGCTTGAACCTGGAAGGCGGAGGTTGCAGTGAGCCAAGATCACGCCACTGTACTCCAGCCTGGGTGACAGAGCGAGACTCCACCTCAAAAAAATTAAAAAAAAAAAAAAAAAAAAAGGCTTTGCCAACCTAGTAGGAAAAAATATCTCATTGTTTCTTGAACTTCTTTCATTACAAGTGTTCCTATAAAATGAAGTTGCACTCTATAAAGTCTCGGCTTAAAAGTTTTGGTTTTTAAAAATGCTGCCAATATATTCCTGCAGAGGAACACATAGGATAGTGGCGTCTGACAAGTTGCTTCATTTATTTCAACCCTATTCCATCTAAAAAAAAAATCAACTAAATTAATGTAGAGATTATCTACTATGAAGTATGAGATATGGCAGTATATCAGTCATTGAATACTTCATTACTGGGATTTACAAATTAGTGTGGTTTTTATTTTACAGTATTCTTTTAGCTTTGCAAATGTATGCCTCTTGCTCCATTTTAATTCTTTTCTCTATAACCTCCCTACCAACCTTGTTCCCTTGTTTCTTTCTCCTTCCCACGATTGTCAGTTTCCTAAGTGTTTGCAGCACTAGAAAGTAAAAGTCTTGGAATCTTTTGTCAATTCATGCATTTTCTGCATTAGCAAAGGCAGCCTGGCAAAAGATTTTATTTCCACTTTTGTCTTTGTTAGCAATTCTCCATTGCCCTTCTTTGAATTCTGTCTTAATTTTTTGTCCCTATTAAGTTTGCCACAGGACCTACTCCTTAACCTTTTGCCTACTCAGAAAGAAGTACTTTTCTTCAAGCAAGGAGGCACTCAGAACTTTCTCAGTACTAATGATCTCCAATTTCACAACTGTATTTTATTTTCCCTTTAAACTCTTTCTCCTCATCAGTTTCCTTACCCTCTCTCACTCCCACTTCAATTGAAAATGTTTTATTGTCGAAGGGATGTGATTTTATAAGAGGATCAGTTGTTTCTGAAAAGTAGCAGCAAGTGCAGATTATTCTCTATCTATTTTAAGGAGGTGGGAGGAGAAGTAGTAAGGTTATAGGAATTTCTCTTCAAGTATGCAGGTAGAATTTCTAAATGTTTGCTGGTGTTTTCCTGCTGTAACTTGTTGGTGTCTGCACATAGCTGTATTCCTGAGGCACTGTGCAAGCAGATGGCATGGATGCACCTGGAAATAGTCATTCATGGGCCACTGGCTCTAGAGAAAGCTTTCCTCTCAGGTGGCCTAGCACACTATTAACCCCCTCTCCTATATTATTTCTACAGAACCTTGAGAGATAAAAGATTTTAAGGAATGTGAAGAAGACTTTGAACTTTCTTCATTTTATGGTGCCAGATACAGCTCTGCTGTCATCGGCTAAAGTTTAGAAATGTTGATGTGACCTACAGTTTCAGTGTGGTATGGTCAAATGGAAGTAGCATTGAATTTGGGATTAAAGCAACCTGGGATTGAGTTCTGGTTGTACTACCCACTAGCCATATGTCCCTGCCTCTCAGGGAACACAGAGTTTAGTGGGAAGAGAGACATGGAAAAATATTTCCAGAAAAAAGCAACATGGGTTTATGTGCAGAGGGCCATCAAAATATCTGGTGGAGATAGAGACTCCTTCCCAAAAGAGTTAGCATGTGAGCTGAGATTTGAATGATGAGGTCAGGGGTGGGAGTAGAGGCTAGGAAGAAGTGAGTGTCCTGGGATGGGGTATGAGTAAGGGCATGGAGGCATACAAGCACTTGGCACGTAAGTTCATGGAATTCAACATGTTCATGGAATTCAGAGATGAAGAGGAAGAGAAAGTGGCTGGAGATAAGAACAGACAAATATCCTTCGGATCATGAAGACTCTAGGATAATATGTAAAGACAGACTTCATCCTGTTGGCTGTGGGGAGCCACTAAGAAGTTCAAGCCTGAGAGTGTCAGATGGATATGTTAGTGTTAGATGGACTACTTGGCAGCAGTATAGAGGAGAAGCATTCTTAATCTTTATAAGCCTCAATTGCTTTTTCTGCTTAATGAGCTAATACTAATGTCTGCCCAACTATTTGTATGGTTTTGTGAAGATTAAAGAAATTATATATACAAAATATATTTAATACAAAAGTATTAAAAACTTGAAGGGCCCTCAAAATATTAGTATTGTTAGTAGTTTTTTTCTACAGTTAACTTAAAATAATTTAAGTGAGCTCTTTTAAGGGAAGCCAACATAAGAGAATTTCTTTTTCACTTAAAAGAAAAACCTGACAGTCATTTTGGTTTCTTGGTTTAAGTAGAAAATATTGGTAGTTAATTTCAGGATACTCACATGTAAGAGATGCTGCCATGACTATTCAGATAAGTAGTCCCTGACTAAATATTTTAGGACTACTTATTAAAACTAAACATTTTAGGACTACTTATTAAAACTAAATATTTTAGGATAAAACAAAATATTTAGTCCTAAGACCCATGTCTAAGATTCCAGGTGGCTCTCAGGGAATGTACCTATATGTAAGAAAAAGGTTGACATACCGGGCACAGTGGCTCACGCCTGTAATCCCAGCACTTTGGAAGGCCGAGGTGGGTGGATCACTTGAGGCCAGGAGTTCAAGACCAGCCTGGCCAACATGGTGAAACCCCATCTCTACCAAAAATACAAAAAAATTAGCTGTGTGTGGTAGCGTGTGCCTGTAATCCCAGCTACTTGGGAGGCTGAGGCAGGAGAATCACTTGAACCGAGGAGGCAGACGTTGCAGTGAGCTGAGATTGCACCACAGCACTCCAGCCTGGGAGACAGAGCAAAACTCCATTTCAAAAAAAAAAAAAAAAAAAAAGGTTGACACACCCAGTAGGATGACTAAAATAAAAAAGACAATAACAATTGTTTGTGAGGATGTGGAGAAATTGGAAACCCTCATTAATTGCTGGTAGCATTGTGACATGATGTAGCCACTTTGGGAGTGCCTTAAAAAATTAAACATCACCTTATGACCCAGCAATTACACTTCTAGATATGTAACCAAAAGAAATTAGGAGCCTATGTTCACATGAAAACTTGTACACAAATGTCTATAGCAGTATTATTCATAATAGGAAAAAATGAAAACAACCATCAGCTGCTGAATACATAAACAAAACATGTTACATCCATACAATGGAATATTATTTAGCTGTAGAAAGGATTGAAGGAGGCCGGGCATGGTGGCTCATGCCTGTAATCCCAGCACTTTGGGAGGCCGAGGTGGGTGGATCACTCGAGGTCAGGAGTTTGAGACCAGCCAGGCCAACATGGTAAAACCCCATCTCTACTAAAAACACCAAAATTTTTAGTACTTTTTTTTGGCACGTGGTGGTGCGCGCCTGTAGTCTCAGCTACTTAGGAGGCAGAGGCAGGAGAATCACTTGAACCCGGGAGGAGGAGGTTGCAGTGAGTTGAAACATGCCACTGCACTCCAGCCTGGGTGACAGAGTGACTCCATTTAAAAAAAAAAAAGATTGAAAGACTGATCGATGTATGCATCAATGTGGATAAACCTTGAAAACGTCATGCTTAAGTGAAAGAAGCAGTCACAAATATATGATTTCATTTATATGAAATGTCCAGAATAAGCAAATCTATAGAGACAGGAAGTAGATTTGTGGTTGCCGGGGACTGAGGGGTGGAGGAGACAGGGAATGACTGCTAATGGGTATGAGTTTCTTTTGGGGTTAATGAGAATGCTCTAAAATTAGATAGTGGTTTTGGTTGTACAACCTTGAATATACTAAAACAACCACTGAATTGAATATTTTAAAAGAGTGAATTTTATAGGATATAAATTATATCTCAATGCTGTTGTAAAACAAAACACAACAAAAAGAAATAGTGAACTTAGGCCAGGCTCTCTGCATACTTAGAAACAGAGGTTAGTATCTAATGTCAGTTTATGTAAATTCCTCAGGGGCAGTAATTATTTGAGTATTTCAGGTACTTATCAGAGTGCCTGAACATTGTAAACACTTAAGTCTTTCTTAAAATAATTAATATTATGAGGCCAGGCACGGTGGCTCACGCCTGTAATCTCAGCACTTTGGGAGGCCGAGGCAGGCGGATCATGAGGTCAGGAGATTGAGACCATCTTGGCTAACACGGTGAAACCCCGTCTCTACTAAAAATACAAAAAATTAGCCAGGTGTGGTGGCGGGCACCTGTAGTCCCAGCTACTTGGGAGGCTGAGGCAGGAGAATGGCATGAACCTGGGAGGCGGAGCTTGCAGTAAGCTGAGATCACGCCACTGCACTCCCAGCCTGGGTGACAGAGTGAGACTCTGTCTCAAAGAAAAAAAAAAAAATTAATATGATACCAAAAGGAAGAATTTTGTGTATAAATTATTGCAGATATGTAAGGCTGAAATAAAGAAGATAGGAAATAAAAGCTATTAGAAATTAAAGAGAACTCAACAGGTTGCCAGTTCCAAAATAAACATTAAAAGATTAGTATATTTTCTATATATTTGCAATAACCTGGCCATAAAATTTAATGCAAAGATGTGCTATTAACAAAAACAATATAAAATACCTAAGAATAAACTTATCAAGAAATGTACAGAAGTCTATGTTGGCAAAAAAAAGACAACATTTTCCCAAAGGACATTAAAGAAAAGGTGAAGATTTACTATATTCGTGGATGGGAAGACTTAATATTGTGAAGATACTACCTCTCTCCTAAACAGATCTATATATTTTATGTAACCCCATCCAACTCCAACAACATTTTGGGAGAAGAACTAAGTGATTATAAAGTACATATAAAGGAAAATGTGTCCAAAAAAAAATCCAAAATAGCCAAGAATATTTGGAAGAGAAGAATTATAATTGAGATTTGCTGTGTCAGAGTAAAGTGTATTATAAAGCTATAATATTGGCACAGAAATAGCTAGATCATAGAATAAAACAACAACAACAAGATGCTAACATTCATTGAGTACTCTGTGTGTTGTGGGTATTTACATAATTCTCTTACAGCTCTGTGAGGGTAGTTACTGTTTTATTCCCATTTAACAGATAAGATAACCGAGATTCATACAAAAATGCAAAAAATTAGCCGGGCGTGGTAGCGGGCGCCTGTAGTCCCAGCTACTCGGGAGGCTGAGGCAGGAGAATGGCGTGAACCCGGGAGGCGGAGCTTGCAGTGAGCCGAGATCAGGCCACTGCACTCCAGCCTGGGCGACAGAGCGAGACTCCGTCTCAAAAAAAAAAAAAAAAAAAAAGAAAACTGAGATTCAGAAAGTAACTTGGCTAACTTGTTGATAACAATCAACAGGATATTGGTTAAATAAATATGGTATACTTTTACAATTAAAGACTATATGTGACCATTTAAAATTATGTAGAATATTATTAGTGACACAGTAATTAGGATAATTATATTAAACAAAAAAAGTAGATTATAAAACAATATGATCCCATTTAAGATATATATATAAAAGCTTTATATATAACATATATATACTATATTTTATTTAATCAATACCCTGTTAATTGTTATTCAGGCTCGTGCTAACTTCTGGCTCTTAAAACAATGCTGTGAATAACATTCTCATATCTAAATATTTTTACAGAGCCTCATTTATTTAAGGGTAAATCCCTAGAATTAAACTTTGCTAATTAAGAACACCAAATCTAGGAATCAAAATAGGTTTGAATTCTTGCTCTTCCTTGTACTTCTACAAACCTAGCCAAGTTATTAGACCTTCTTGAATATATATATAATAATATATATGTAGCATATATAAATCTTATATATATATATCTTAAGTGGGATCATATTGTTTTGTAATCTACTTTTTCTGTTTAATATAATTAAACAGATCCCATTTAAGATACATATATATATAATCTTTTCTGTTTAATATAATTAAACAGATTCCATTTAAAAGATATATATCTTAAATGAGATCATATTTTGTAATCTACTTTTTCTGTTTACAGAAAGATTTTCTTGTTTTTGGTACAAAACCCATTTTTTTTCTCTGCATATATATGTACCAAAAATGATTTTCTTTGAGTGATAAAGTTATGAATGATTTTGGCCGTGTGCAGTAGCTCACACCTGTAATCCTAGCATTTTGGGAGGCTGAGGCAGTGGATCACTTGAGGTCAGGAGTTCGAGACCAGCCTGGCCAACATAGTGAAACCCCGTCTCTACTAAAAATACAAAAAATTAGCATGGTGGCGTGTGCTGTAGTCCCAGCTACTCAGAAGGCTGAGGCAAGAGAATCGCTCGAACCCAGGAGGCAGAGGTTGCAGTGAGGCAAGATCATGCTACTGCACTCCAGCCTGGGTGAGAGAGCAAGACTCTGTCTCAAAAAATAATAATAATAATAAATGATGAATGATTTATATTTTCTTCTTCTTGCTTACTGATATTTTCTAATTTTTCCACAGTGAAATAAATGTTCCTTCTCTAAAAATTTTTTTTCAATAAAATTATTAGGTTGCTCTTGTTTCTTTTAAACAAGGTGTGTGAGTTTGTTGTCCTCCTTTTGTTATTCACCCTGCCAGCTGGCTTAGCTGCTCCTCTGTGCTCCTGCAGTCCCCTGTGTTTCCCTTGATCGCAGCGTATTGTCATAGTGATCATAGCGTATTGACATTACTTACTTTTCTGACTCCTATCTCTATATCCTTGGTGCCTGTAACAATATTTGGCTCAATAAATGCTTCAGGAAGGAAAGGCTGGGAATGAAGGGAAAAAAAAGAGGACGGGAGGGAGAAGGGAAACCCCCTTGCAGAGATATAGGTCTGAGTTTTTTTTCTGTATTTAGGCCAGCTTCTTTCCCCGATGTCCAAAAGCAAGTGGTGGATGGTATATTACTCCTATAATTCTTTATACTGATAGAGAAAATGAGTTGAACAACAACAAAAAAGGCCTTGATTTCAGAACCACTTGTCTTTAAGTTCTGATTGCAAGGAACCAAAAATATACATAAGGCTAGCTGTGGTGGCTAACCCCTGTATCCCAGCACTTTGAGAGGCTGAGGCAGGAGGATTGCTTGAGCCCAGGAGTTTGAGACCAGCCTGGGCAACATAGGGAGATCCTGTCTCTACATACACACACACACACACACACACACACACACACACACACACACACACACACAGATCCAGATCCTGTCTCTATACACACACACACACACACACACACACACACACACACACATTCAATTAACCAGTTGTGGTGGCACATGCTTGTAGTCCCAACTACTTGGGGGAGGCTGAAGTATAAGGATTGCTTGAGCACTGGAGATCGACCCTGCAGTGAGCCCTGATTGTGCCACTGCACTCCAGCCTGGGTGACAGAGTGAGACCTTGTCTCAAAAAAAAAGAAAAAAAACCTATATGTGTATATATATATAATTTATATGTGTTTATATATATACCATTTATACGCTTATATATATATGTCATTTATATATGTGTGTGTACACACACACACACGGAGAAGGGCAGGTTGGGATCTCTACATTAAAGATGCCAGAGTGAATCTTTCCCAACTTATTGAAACATACGAGGGCTATTTTGGCAGAAAATGCTGCCCTGTCCCTCCTTCCCTTCCACCAGTTGTATCTAAAAAGCCCTTTTTGTTCTTTTTTGAGACAAGGTCTTGCTTTGTTGCCCAGGCTGGAGTGCAGTGGCATGATCATAGCTCACCATAACCTCAAACTCCTGGGCTCAAGTGATCCTCCCATTTCAGCCTCCTGAGTAGGTGGGACCACAGGCATGCACCACCATGCCTGGCTAATTTTTTTATTTTTAGTAGAGACCAGGTCTCACTATGTTGCCCAGGCTGGCCTCCAACTCTTGGGCTCAAGTGATCCCCCCACCTCTGCCTCCCAAAGTGCTGAGATTACAGG